>NC_000008.11:136922533-137224611 GCF_000001405.40 Homo sapiens
AAATATTCTTCCAATCCATAAAATCTTTTCAGGAAGAGAGAAGAAATGGGAAACAATTTTATTGTTGAATAAGCAATAAACCAGAATGTGATGCACATCACAGGCAATCTGCTTAGAGACTGCGAAGACCAAAACTAAATCTTGTTCTTTTATACAGCCCAACAAATAGAATCTATTACATACATGTTCTCAAGCAATAACTAGTAGTCAAGTAAGGAAACTTGAGGTGCCATTTGTCACACATGTTTATATTAGATTCTCTTGGTAATTGGGGTGGCCAATTTTTGTTAGCTAATTGGCATTATCCAAAGGAAACATAAACTTCTCGCATCTTTGTGAGAGAAGGTAGTTCTGTGCCTTAAAGAGAGGCACCCTCTGGGATATAATGCTGCTATGTTCCTTGAAAATTTCATTTTGAAGAGGTGGTTTTGTGGTCCTTAAGAAAGACATTCCTGGGGTTTGACACTGACAAGAGGTTTACTTACCATTTCATAACAGTGATCAAAGTCACAGAAAAATAACATATATTTTCCAAAGTAAATATTCTGAGAAAAGAGAGGGAGGAGGAAGTATTTTTATTAACAATAGGGAGAATGAAGTTTCTTATTTTTAACTTGTGTTTTCTGTTATAGGCTCCTATCTTGATTCCTCTCTCTGTTGTCAGAGAGTAGGTCTTTACCTGTTTCCTTATCTATAAGGTGAATGTATTAATTTAAAAAGTGAATATGTATAAATCAATTAGAATAAATGCCTGATACATAATGCCTATATGGCAAACAAACTGGACAGCAATAACTTAACTTAAGCATACCTTGAGAATGACCTCAGGGTCTATGAAGACTGCGTGTTTTGAATTCTGAGCTAAGGAATTCCTAGCTAAGAGGCCAACCTGAAGATTCACTCCGTATCTACGAAGGATATCTGAGCTCTTGGCCTATCTCTTGGAACCCAATCCCTACAGGGAATCGAGGCCCTTTGTTCTGAGTTAAATGGAGGTTTCTAGTTGGAGGATGCCGAGTAAAAATGTGATGTAAACTGCATGCTTTTCACAAGTGAATGTGGTTCTCCTGTCCAGCACACCTCTGCTGGACTGCCCTTGAATGTAAGTCCTGTCAATAAATGCTATGTCTTGTTTGCTGTCTCTGGGTATCTTCTTTGGCCTCTTGGACATGATGTCATCCCTTTTGGAGTCAATAGTGTTCCAGCATGACAATGCCTTGTGTGAGTGTTAATGATCTATTCTAGCACTGCATTCAATTTGCCTCTTCAATAGCTTTATCTTCCACCTTTATTTACTTATGTAGAGGTCATGATTTTAATTTGGGTGCACTCAACATGATTTTAAGGATTGTTTTTTCAGTCCACATTCAGTTGTCCAGATGCAGATCCAGAGGAGGCACAATTGAATTTGGCGAGGGCCAAAAATTAGCTTACTTAAGTCAGATAAAGGGGAAGCAACAAAAGTGTTAAAGATGTATTTCAGGCCAGGCACGATGGCTCATGCCTGTAATCCCAGCACTTTGGGAGGCCGAGGCGGGTGGATCACGAGGTCAGGAGTTTGAGACCACCCTGGCTAATATGTTGAAACCCTGTCTCTACTAAAAATACAAAAACTATCTGGGCATGGTGGTGTGCGCCTATAGTCCCAGCTGCTCTGGAGGCTGAGGTAGGATAATCACTTGAACCCGGGAGGCGGAGGTTGCATGCCACTGCACTTCAGCCTGGGAGACAGAGCGAGACTCTGTCTCAAAAAAAAAAAAAAAAAAAAAAAAAGATGTCTTCTTGGGAGAAAAGTTATGGCCAAGAGACCCATTATGAAAGTAAGCAAAGACTCATTAAGGTGATAAGAGTCCACTCCAAGAGAGGAGTGGGCTGGCCCCGCTGGGAACACAAGTAGCAGCAAGGGTTAAGTAGTAGCTGAGTTTATTCAAAGAGACACAGAGAGAGTACACTTAAAGATGAGGCAGAGCAGCCTGCTGGGAAAAGAGCCAGCCAGCAGCCGTGAGAGTTCTGCACTGAGGTTTTTGTTTTGTTGGAGTCTTGAAGTTCCTGACTCTGTCTCAAGTCTCTGCCTTTGTTGGTGTCAGTTTACCACTTCTGTCCTAAGTTTCTGCCTAGTCCCTACCTAGTCCTGTCCCAGGTTCCTGGGATTCACTCTTACTGTCAGTTGATGGGACATGTAGGCCCCATGCTGGATGCGAATCCTACCTAATGGTGACTTTGCTCATTACCACCATCCCTGGATGGTCATATAGTGGTTAAATCTGTACTTTATGTACTGTATATCTCTTAGGAATTTCCCCTTTGTCCTCTTTTATTCTTATGACCATGTAGCTAGCTGCATTCTGACAGGTTTTACAGGGTGAGCAATTACTGGGCATCTTATCAGGCATTTGGGGGCATTCCTTTCTGCGTAGGTACTTCCCCTCCTCTCTGCTCCTATCTAGTATGCATGTTTTGGCTGGCCTGTGGGGTGTGAGACTTTCCAGACCTTCTTTTCTCAGGGGCTCCTGCTCATGTCTATCTTCCTACTCTAACAAATATCATATAAAATAAATAAAATATAAGTTCTGAATACAGAGTGAAGGGAGAACATAATGATAAAGGACAGACAACAGAAATGTGGTAGGTTCAATGAAATTTCCTTCATGATCAAGTAATTGTTTTAGGCAGGTTGAAGAGTGAGAGAATTAGAACTGCCTCTCTAAATTTAGGAGAGCTGAAGTTAGGCACTTATTGGCAATAACAAGTTCTGAGGTGTGACCATGGGCTTGGGTAGTAGTTAGTTGGAGAGCAAGATCATTGCACGACAGATCAAGAAGCGAAAAGCCAAAGTACTGAAGTAATTGTTGATGGGGATACTGAAATCACTGTGCATTATGGACAAAAACAGTATGGGAGGAGGAACATCATTGCAGATGCTGAAATCTTCAAGGAATTGAGAATTTGCCTCAAGTATTGAAATAGCTGCAATATTTGCAACAAATATATAAATGAGGGGGACCAAGAGGGGTAGTGAGTGAAATAATTTACAACTTCAGAATGTTTCTTAGGGGAGAGGGGGGATCTTCTAGAATTTCTAACAGGGAAGAAATCACCTGTCCCTTCTGCAGACCAGGGCTATAGGAGAAGTGGAGTCCTCAGGAGTGATCCAGGTGTTTGCTTTTCATTTACAAGTGAAAAGAAGAATGGAATGGAGTTTGCTGGTTATGTGTTATGTGTGGTACATTACAGGGCACTCAAGGGAAAACTTTGGGGAATAGGCAAGGGTAGGAGATAAATTTAATGTGGGGATACTCATCTCTATGTAGATAAAATGATTTAACGAATGAATGAACCAAAAAGGAAGTACAACCAAATCCCTCCTCCAGCTCCTCAAAGAATGATCTCTAACTTTTTTTCCACAGAGAGCACTCGCTAACGTGATAGATAAGAGAGTTAGAAGCATCTTTATTCTATCTTCTCTCCAGCCCGGCATCTTGACTCGGAATTTAACTGTTTCACCTGGGGCCAGGAGAAAGCTTTCTCCCAGTTAATTACCACATGTTAACACTGAAGCTGTATCCTTATTTCACTGCTGAATGCAATCATTGCTCCCAGTATTATGGTAATGATAACCCCCTCCCTGGCCTTCTGCCTTTAAGCTTGGATTTAGAATATCAATTGATATGGATAAAATTTAATGTGGCACAAAATATTACAGAGGAAAAATGACACCATAAAACGCACCTTTCGGTGGTGAGTCATTTTAGTACTGGGCAGTATTTCCTTGGAGACAGATCTTTAACAGCCTGCTGCATCCAGGCTATTGTTCTACTGACTGTTGCCTGTAGGTGGATGTGAGCATGTTGTACAAAGGAGATCTTTCACATATGCCCAGAGGAGGATGTCTTGAGGATACATATTTAGCAAACATCCATTGAGTACGCATCAGGTCCTGTGCTGAGCTCTGAGGCAGATCTAACGATGAATGAGACAGGATTCCTTTTCACAGTCTAGCTGTGAAGACAGACTACTTTTAGGGTTGCAATGGTTCCAGCAGTAATAAAAATAAAAATCAGTATTCATTTACAAGTATTCATTGAGCACTTACTATATGCAAGGTACTTTGCTAAGTTTCAAATACTGTATTGCAGAATATTATCTTAGCTTTGCAAAATTGGTTTATGATTGATTCCATGGTCCTACAGGGACCCAGATACTTACTTTTGGAGGGGAAAACAATGACCATTCACATCTCACTTTTTTACTTAAGGTGGTATGTAATCTAGTTATGGTATAGAATGCTTTGGGGAGAACTCATATGACAGGTAGATGTAGAAAATAGGACTTGAGGACTCTGCATAAGATGAGCAGTGAAGAAAAAATTCCTACATCCATAGGACATATACATCTGTAGGAAAGTGAAAATAAATTATCTGTGACCTTATAGAGAGAATATGAGATACTATGAGAATCCCTCCATGGCCACAAAGTAGAGGGGATATGGTAGAAGGGACATTTGAAGAAGTGGCTTAAAATAATTTGACGAGCTTGCAGTAATTCACTTATTTAATTTGTAACTTGTAGGAAACAAACTGCTTTCTTTGTGGACTAGGATGGTAGCACTGCCTTAAAACATCTTTAAGAATATGAAGGCTGAGAATAACATGGTGGATTTAGAAAAGCACACAGACATAATCCTTCCTGTAGAAGAGCTGCTGTTCAGCTTTGATTCTCTTTATCTTAAAATCTCTATCCAAAGGAACTGGCACCCTTGTCCTGTTTCAGTCTTAGCATATTTCCTTTGCCTTTCTTTATGCTTTATTCATAATATGTGGCAGCTCTTTGTTTCATCTCCTGACTATGGCCTTTTCCATATTATAATTTGAGAGATGACCAAAATAGACACCCTTTATCCACTAAAACACACCCTAAGGTTAAGAGGACAAAAATGACACCTGTAAGTTCAAGGTTCAGAGTTGCTGGCATGGCAACTTCTTAAGTTCCTATGGCTATAAGAAAAATCACACTCTTGCTAAACTCTCTCACAGTAGGAACTATTAGACAAATTATCAAACCCCTCCTAGCTGCAATTTGCAACCCAGACCACTACAATTATGACTGGAGAGAGGACCAGCCTTACAGACATTATTTTCTGATAAGCAACTGCAGACGTTAAGCCTGCTTCAATCAGTTTATGGAGGCTGTGCACAAATGGTCCTTTTGTCCTATAGTTCTCCTTTTGATGTAAAGAGCCAAATTTCTCCTCATTTTAATGCTAAAACCCCACCCCAATGTGAACATGTGATGTATGTTATGTATAAGTTTACCCCTTGTGCATGCGTTGCATCTCCCTCAAAATATGTATAGCTTTCTCCCCAAACCTGTTGCTTATGTATTACTCTGTAATATGAGGCAGGCTCCATGCGGCATAAAACCCAACCTGTCCTTTCGCTTATTGAAGAGAGAGCACTTTCAGCACCTGATGGAGACTGTCTCTTCCCATTTTTGGAAACTGATATCACCAAAAGCTCTCCTTTCTACTCTCTAGCTATCCTAGTGGTCTTTTGCATGACAATATTATTGGACCTTTGGCCCAAGTTGTATTATCTAATAAGAACCCAGGCTTGGGATGATTTAACTCACATCATAGCTGTTGTCTGTTCTGACCCCCAAATGCCTAAATGATGCAGGTATGATAGACTATTATTTGTGATCCCTCAATTGTATCTTCTAGTTGTTAATTTGCGCGAAAATATTTTTTGTTGTAGTATACCTACTTTTTTCTCCACTTTTGCATCATCTCTCTTGTGTATTAGTTACTGTTGCTGTGTAACATACCCTCACAAAATGCAGTGGTATAAAAGAGCATTTTATTATTCTTATGGATTCAGTGGTTTAGAAATTTAGGCATGGGTTTTAGGGAGGATGGGTCTCTGTGTCACCATGCCTGGGTCCTCAGCTGAGGAGACTGAAGACTGCGAGTGAATCAGCAGCCCGGGCTGGAGATATCTGGAGGTGTTTTCCCTCATGTGATTACAGTTGATTTCACCTGCACTCTAGACCCTCAGCTGAACTGTCAGCTGGAGCATCTATACATGGCCTATGCACTTGATGTCCTTATATGTGTAAATTTGGCTTTCCTCACAGTATAGCAGCTGGGCAACAAAAGTAAACGTCCCCAAGAGAACCAAGAGGAGGCTACATCACCTCTGAATACCTAGCCTGTTAATTCATATATATAATATCACTTCCACTATAGTGGTGAGGGTACAGAAAACTTAACTTTTGATGGGAAGAGATTTGAAATATCACTGGAAGATTAGCACATGATTTAGGAGAAATTGTTGCCATTATCTTTGGAAAATGCAGTATGCCTGTATTAATTTCCACTTGCTGCTGTAACGAACTACCTCAAACTTAGTTGCTGAAAACAATGCAGATTTGTTACCTTATTCTTCTGGAGTTCAGAAGCCTGAAATAGGTCTCACTGGGGTAAAATTAAAGTATCATGAAAGCTGTCTTCCTTCTGAAGACATTTCATAAAAACTTATGAAATGTCACCTGAGAGCTTCTCATTCAAGGTAGGGTAGAGTAGCTTGCAACATAAAAAATGCTCTACCCGAGTACACCCAGAAAATTGGATAGGATTTTAAAAATCCATTTAAAAATATCAGAGGGCTACACAAGCAATGACTAAACTTGTGAAGAGTATAGACGAAGTTGTAATTAGAAGAAGACTTGTGACTGGAGACATTGGCCAATGCTGCGTGTGGAGGAAGTAAGAAACTGTGTATCTGGGCTTCCACCAGCACAGGGAGGCTGCCCTAAGACAGAGAGGGGTGTAGAATGTTTGGCAGAAGGTCCAGGCAGGTGTGACAATGTTTAAAGCTCAGAGAGCTAGAATATACAAAGAATTTACTCCAACTCTGATTGGAGAGGGGTAGGGGGATCCTAGTAATCCTTTCAGTTGAAAGACCTAAAGTGCTATGCTCCAGGGTTAGGGAGACTAGAGGTAGACATAGCTTTACAAAACCGCAAATTAAGTTCTACCAATTCAGTCTCTGCTTGGATGAAGGTGTCAGTTACTTCATTCTGTTTGTCCATCATAGGAAACTGTGGGTACTCACTGATGATTTTACTAACTCAAAGCTCTCAGGAAAGCCTTCTAATGTAGATATTTTAACTTATTCTTCTAGATTAGGAACTATAGTATTATTTCTCATAATTTCTGTCCTGACCCTTCTGTATACCAGCTAGAGTGGAGGTGTTAGTAGTGGAGGGAAAGGGAGAAGAACCTATCTCAATGAAAAATATCTTTTTCTCTAAAGCATATAAATCAGAACAAAACTGATTCATTTGTTCATTTGTGAATTTGTAGACATGTATTTATTATATAAATGTATTTCAGGTTCTGTCCTATATCATAAGATCCAGAGATAAATAAGTTGATTGCATGTCCAGGAAATGCTAGTCTCAAAACCCTTTGCAAAAATTATGACAGTGAGAGGAGTTTAACACAGTTGACTCCATCTTGCTTCTAACATTGCAAGCTTTCCTTGCTCATTCCTGGGCACAGGCCAAGCTAACTATAGGAAGAATTTAGATTATAGTTTAACTTTAAAACAAAGATGATAATACTATTTTCCCAAAATGAATAACCTCTTTGCTCAGGAACTGAAACTGCCTTTGTAAAACTAACACATTAGTCACAAGGTTAGAATTAGTGTTCAGGATTAATGTAGTCAAAAGTCACAAGATTTTTAACCTCCCCACTTGCTCTTACAGATAGCACCACTATTGTAAAACCTAAGGCTGATATTTGAGGTATCTTTTAGACCTTTCATTCTGATAGACCAACTGGTGCCACCAGGACCAATAACCCACCCAGGAAGTGACTCAGCACAAGAAGACAGCTTCAGACCCCTATGATTTCATCCCTAACCCAACCAGTCAGCATTCACCTTCCCTATTTCATTGCCCACCAAACTGTCCTTGAAAAATTGTAGCCTCTGAATTCTTGGGGAGGTAGATTTGAGAATTAACTCTCATCCTTTCACTTGGCTGGCCATGATATTATTAAACTCTTTCTTTGCTGCAACACCAGCTATTCTCATTGTATTGGCTTTTGGGGTCAGTAGGCAAGAAGAACCAATTGGGCTGCAACAGCTTGATAATAAAATACAGTAAGTAAGAAATTAGAAATTATTGCATTAAGTACTACCTTGAAAGTGTAGAATAGGCAAAGTCATCTGTTCTGAGGGTTGAAAAATGCATAAGAAGATTAAAAATAGAATTACAGCATAGGTACTATTTGAGTTGAATCTGAAAAATGAGTCAGAGTGACTAGATAAGAAGGAAGAAATTCCAAACTGAATGCCTGGCTGTTGTCTAACATCAATACAGTTGGAGGTATCTTCATAAATTATTGCCAATACTATGCTCTGACCCTACTGTGATGCAGAGAAGTTGAATAGAATTTGAATGGGATTTGGATTTGAAAACTCCTAATCAAATCTGTAATCATATGCAGACAAAGTCTACATCAAAGCACTATTAATATTACTAAGTTTTCTTTTGTTATTAATTTTGCTATTTAAAATCAATACATTGCCATTAAATATAATTAAAACTTGAAGAGTTTATTGTGTAAAGTATTTAGAATATGCATATTTCAAATGTTGATTATTAATAAACTATATCATTAATAATACTGTCTTAGCTTCAGTCTGCATTTGGGAGAGGCACATTAATAGTGCACTACTAACTTTATTATAGTATTACTCATTTTTTTCAAGGGTGCAGTTTTTTCATCTTATTCCCGGTCTATGATCAATTATTGGAGCTACTATGGTGTATATTTCTAGGTACTTCTGTACAAACTGCCCTAACCTCCTAAATCTCATCATCCTGCCCCACCTCCCTTGCTTAAGTCTTACATAATCTTAATGCTGAGTTGCAAAGCCACTTCCCTTAACCTCGCCTCTCCCAAGCCAGTCTCTTTCTAACCATGATTCTAAGTGGATCTATGCCTGAATCCCTTTAATATGGAAAAATTCTGAAGCTTCTTCCAGCATCTGTGTGGTAGGCTTTTGATCCAGGAGAAAGCATCTCCCTTGGACACAGTGGTTGATAAATATGATCTGTGCATGTACTCAAATTCAGCTAATCGGAGATATTCCCTGGGCTTTCCAAACTGGAGCTTGATGAAAGTATCAGCCTTTCTTCCTATAGTCTTGTTCCGTGGCAGTTAGAGAGAATTAAGATGACTCTCAAAAAAAAAAAAAAAAAAAAAAAAAAAAAGAGAAACTCCTGATCTTCAAGACCCTGGATCCAGTTTTCTCTGAAAATACCCTCACTCTGCCCTTTCATGTGACTTACACTTTCTGTGTTTTTGTTTGTTTGTTTTGTTTTTTGTTTTTGTTTTGCTAAGGCTAATATGAGCTGAAATTCTCTCTCTTGCAATTGTAAAACAATATTGAAAAATATACTCTTCTATATCAATTATTTATTGTTCTCACCACTGGATGGCAGAATGACTGAAGACAATGTCTTACTTATCTCTGTAACCAAACACTTGACAAGACATCTGACATCTTAGACACTCAATATGTGTTGATCATAGGAGAAAATAGAGACCAACCTTGTTTCATAGGGAGATAGTTGCACAAGGAAACATTATGCCCATTATAATGAATCCATGAGACTGATAGGTTTTAAATTTAACAAGAGATTAATGTCTTTTTAAAAAAAAAAGTTCTCTTTTTTAACTCTTTCACTCTGTCTAGGTATGTAGGACCTTCTGTACACACACACACACACACATACACACGAGATTATTTGTAATGTTTCCTGTATCTGTAGTACTTCTTCTCCCTTGATCCCTCAGGCAAACCTTTCTTCAAGCTCTGTTCAAATATCAAACACCTTTGTCAAGCATTTCGGAATACAAATCCTATTACACAGCACTAAACATTCATATTACCTGTCAATGCATTCTGTGCTTTTGATTATCTCATTCTATAGAAATTATTTTTTTCATATCTACCCATTCTCTTCCTAGGGTTTTAGCTCTTAAAGGGTTGCATATTTTACTGTTTTGCATTCTCAATCTCTAAAATAATGACTGACACACAATAAATAATCAATGAGTATTTGAAAGAAAAACACTTTGTAAAGTTTTTGCCCAAGTCCTCTTGTTTTAACTGCACAGTGAAACTGAGAGTGGTACATATTATTCTATCAGTTTTACAGATGAGAAATATACATGCAAAAACATGTTTATTGTACATGAAGGCAGCAATTTTGTTTCTCTGGTTTATTAGTGTATCCCCAATGCCTAGCACAGTGCCTGGTACAAAAGGGTGTGTGTATGTTATATATATACACAGTTGGCCCTTGTGTTACAGGAAAGGGGTCCTGATCCAGACCCCAAGAGAGGGTTCGTGGATCTCAGGCAAGAAAGAATTCAGGGCAAGTCCACAGTGCAAAACAAAAGCAAGTTTATTAAGAAAGTAAAGTGGTGAAAGGACAGCTACTCCATAGACAGAGTAGGACGTTCCCAAAAGTAAGAAGAGGAACACACCCTCCCTAGGTACAATGCTTGTATATATGGGGAGATTTGCTCTGTTACAAGGGTTTGTGATAAAGGATTAATTTTCTTATTTACTATATTTTGCAAGAATCAATATTTTTATCTATAAATCAAAATTAGGAATGCCTTTTTTCTCCAGATATCAGGATATCTGGACACTCGCAAGTCTGGGTCTATTTGGCAAACATTAGGCTGGGCACAGTGGCTCATGCCTGTAATCCTAGCACTTTGGGAGGCCAAGGCGGGCCGATCACCTGAGGTCAGGAGTTTGAGACCAGCCTGACCAACATGGAGAAACCTCATCTCTACTGAAAACACAAAATTAGCCAAGCATGGTGGTGCATGCCTATAATCCCAACTACTCGGGAGGCTGAGGCAGGAGAATCGCTTGAACCTGGGAGGTAGAGGTTGTAGTGAGCCAAGATCACTCCATTGCACTCCAGCCTGGGCAACAAGAGCAAAACTTCATCTCAAACAAAACAAAACATTATTAATTTGTTCCCTTAACCATAAACATCTAGAGGTAGGTATGCCTAACTTTCTGGGAATGCAGCCCAGCAAGTCCCAGACTCATTTTCCTAGCCCTCACTCAAAATGTGGTCACTCTGGTTCGAATGCCTCTGACACTTGAACAACACAGGTTTGATCCATGCAGGTCCAAGTATAGGATGATTTTCTTCCTCCTCTGCCACCATCTCTTCTTTCTCCATCTCCTCAGCCTACTTAGTGTGAAGATAAGGATGAAGACCTTAACATTGCTTCACTTTCACATAATGTGTGGTAAATATGTTTTCTCTTCCTTAGGATTTTCTTAACAACATTATATTTTCTCTAGCTTATTTTTATTATAAGAAGATAGTATCTAGTACATATAACATATAAATATAACATATTTATATGTATCATATGTATTCTTATGTATCTAATCAGCTGCCTTGTTATCTGTAAGGTTTCTGGTCAATGGTAGGCAATTAGTAGTTTAGTTTTTTGGAAAGTCAAAGGTAATATTATCAGAGGTGCTCAAACCAGAGTGACTCCATTTTGAGTGAGGGCTAGGAAAATGAGTCTGGGACTTGCTGGGCTGCATTCCCAGAAAGTTAAGCATTCTGGGCCTCTAGATGTTTACAGGTAAGGGAACAAATTAATAATGTTTACTAAACTGACCCAGACGTGGGAGTGTCCAGATATCCCAATATCCAGAAAACAAAGGCATTCCTAATTTTGCTTTAAAGATAATAATATTGATTCTTGCAAAATATAGTAATTAAGAAAATTAATCCTTTATCACAAACCCTTGTAACAGAGCACATCTCCCCATATATACAAGCATTGTTCCTAGGGTGGACGCGTTCCTCCTCTTACTTTCGGGAGCTTCCTTCTCTGTCTGTGGAGTAGCTGTCTTTTCACCACTTTACTTTCTTAATAAACTTGCTTTGACTTTGCACTGCAGACTCTTCCTGAATTCTTTCTTGCGTGAGATCCAAGAACCCTCTCTTTGTGTCTGGATTGGGATCCCTTTCCTGTAACATATTTCTGATGACTACAGAAGGGACTATAGTGCAGAAACCTCGACCCAGCAGCTACATTTGGGTAAGTGGTGGGATCCTGTAACATATTTCTGGTGAGCACAGAAGGGACTATAGTGAGGAAACCACCAACTTTGGGTAAGTGGTGGGGTCCTGTAACAATATGAGGATTGTCAATTGCACTGGGGGTTGACACCTCTAACCCTTGCATTGTTCAAGGGTCAACTAGAAGTATATATGCATGTATGTAAGCATGCATGTATAAAATGAGCCTTAGCTACTTTCAGTGGCAGACCTTCATATAAAGTTATGAAGTTACATTTGCTCGATACCACTACACTATCATGCCATATTTTTCACTGACCAGATTTGAAATTGGAAGCCACTCAAGACTAGAGGTAGTACCTTCATCCACTCTGCATTGCCCCATGACCTCTGCACACGCCTTTCAGGTGTGTATTTACCATGAGTCAGCAATTGTGTTAGGTGCTTTTATAGTTTGAGTTTTTAGTAATTATCATGGTAATTCTGTTAAATATTAGATCCTCATTATTCATAGAAAATGATCAAGACTTACAAATCTAAGGCAACTTAGCATATTGTAGGCCCTCACTTTTTAAATTTTTAATTAAGTGGAAGTGAAGTGAATTCAATTTTATATTATTACGTAGAAAGTCTCCAACACACTTTGAACTAAAAATCTCAGAACACACAAATGCACCAAAAAAGGTTCAGAAAGGTCTGTATTCAGTTGAGCAAAGTGTTTGGGAAAATCTAACAAAATGATGACTTTCTTAATGAGATTTGGCAATTTCTATCAATAGTTGACCAAAAGGAATTTAAGTAGCTACTTGAATACCAATTACTTACAAATGAAAAACAAGAAGAAAAAGGCAAGTGTCCAGTTTAACTCACCATAACAGAGAAAAACATTCACTAATCAAGGCAGAGACTGGAGCTGTAGCCCCAGGTCAAATAGTGCCTTTGGCAAATTGGCCGTTAATTCGTGGAGACTCTAGGCAGAAACTCAGCATCTGCAACTTGAGTTTTTTTGTTGTTGTTGTTGTTTGCTTTGTATTTTCTGGAGACAAAGCTTTCCTCTAAAATGCTGAGCCATGTAATGGATTTCTTCAACCTCCTGCTCTCAGGGTCAGGGAACAGACATTTTAGGAAAATGGGCCTCTGCTACAGAACCATGCATGGAAGCAGCACTGGCTCTACAGATGAGCAGGTGGCACGTGTGGTCACACTGGCCCTGTGCTCAACAGGCCCCATAATTGGTTTGTGCTTTGCTGTAGCTGTATTACAATTTTTATTTTATCTTTGAACTTACGTTTCTTAAATAAAGTCCCATAGGTCCAGGGAGCAAGTGTGTAAACACAGAATTAAGCTTTACCTTGCAATGCACTTTGATCATGGAATGCCAATGGCTCCAAGACATGAAGGAGTTAACCGGACTCAAAACAAGTACAAGACAAGCATGTGTTCCATGTAGGACTATGCAGGTTGCTGATGACACCAAGAAGCCTAGCTTTCTATTCAACCCTGAACTTGCAGAAAGAAGGCGATGGTGTTCTAAGAGCATGAAGTGACCAGGGAACTTTTTTATTCTTTGTTACTCATGTTCCTTTTCTGTATTAGCCAATCACTGTAGCTGAAGTGATGATGTGGAAGAAAAGGGCAAACTATACTTTTCTTTTCAGTTCTGTCTTCCACATTATTAAACCACAAGTACAAGGTGTTGCCAGAAAAGGTGCATATCAAATACAACAAAAACAGTTTATTTTATTTTGCACAGTGTTTACATTATTCTAGCGAGAATAAAATACATGTGCATGTGTAAGCTATGAAATATAAATTATGTAATTTTAATGATTCCATATATGAGTCAAATGTTCTTACATTTGGTTTTCAAACTATACTTTCACAATATGTAAAGAGGAGTGTACAATTTTGGCTAATAATTTAAAATTTTATTTTCACAAACTTAAAATGATATCAAATAGCAAGTAAAAAGCACCATGACAAGTCAAGAGAGACCATGAAAGGAATGAAAAACTTCATATCTTAGTATCTTTTGCAGCACTGTTTTCCTAATTTTTGAACAAGGAGCTCTGCATTTTCATTTTGTGCTGCACCCTATTATTATGTAGCCAGCACTGTATAAAAGTAATGTAGATGAGACTCCTTTTAAAGTTGTTGATGGTCTGACTGTAAAAGAAATACAGTGCATGGCTGGGCACAGTGGCTCACGCCTGTAATCCCAGCACTTTGGGAAGCTGAAGTGGGCAGGTCACTTGAGGCCAGGATTTTGAGGCCAGCCTGGGCAACATGGTGAAACCTCATCTCTACAAAACACATAAAAATTACCTGGGAGTGGTGGTGCACACCTATTGTCCCAGCTACTTGGGAGGTGAGGCATGAGAATGGTTTGAAGCCTGGAGGCAGAGGTGGCAGTTACCTGAGATCGCACCACCGTGCTCCCACCTGGATAACAGAGCGAGACTCCATCTCAAAACTAAAAAATAAAAAAAGAAAAGAAAAGAAATACACTGTAGTGAGTTAAGCTAGACCACTTTTATCAGAGAAGACAACATGAGAATGAATTTTAACTGGGGAATCATGAATATGTCCTAAAGCAGATGTTCTGTCTTGAGCCTTAAAGCATGGATAGGATTTTAAAATTTGTCCTGACAAAAGTTATGGTGCTGAGGGGCAGGAGAGCAGTGTAGACTGGTGAGAAAAATGCCCCATGTAAATGAATCTATTGCATTACTCAAAGCATGGTTAGGAAAACAAGGAAGAAAAGAGACATTTGTAGGAAACCACAATAGCAAATACAATCTTTATTCTTAGATAAATCATCTGCGAACAGCAATGAAGTCTCCCCTTTGTTCTCTACACTTTCTAACTGGTATTGCTGATGTAAAGGAGAGTCATGGTGCTTGTTTGTTGATAGTACCTAACTCCTCTGGAGCTCTGCCTCTGACTGCTTGACCCTACTTCTGATTCCACCTGCACTGAGGGGATGGTCCCTTGTAGGAACGGCCTCACTTCATGTTGCCTACTTCAGGCTTCATCCATCTTAAGCATTTTCACTTCTTGCTAGGGAATCTTCCAGTGTCACAGTGCCAACGGGAACTTGGACAGCCTGGATTCGTGCCTGGCTTGTAAGTGTGTGGACATGACATCATCAGAAGCAGCTCTCAGCCAATGAGGAATGGGGATTGATAATGAATGCTCCCAACACCTGTGCTCGTGGTGTACTCTTTTGGTATCAAGTCTATACAATCCTCCCGAGGTTGTGTGAAATAGAGCCCCCACCAAACTCAGCAGCAGCCTACCTGATGCTCTGTATTGAGTTTCCTTCCTTCTCTGTCTTGTTCTTCAAGGGCTATTTTTCTTGTTTCTTAGGATCAATCTCTAATTAAACTACCAAAATACTAGTTCTTTTTGGTGTCTGCTTTTGAAGAAATCCAAATTTTGAACACTTTTTATGTATTGTCCTTCTTGAATTAATCCTCTAAGACAGTGGTGTTCAATATTTTGGCTTCTCTGAGTCACACTGGAAGAAGAATTGTCTTGGACCACACATAAAATAGACTTAACACTAATGATAGCTGATGAGCTATTTTTAAAAATCACAAATAAATCTCATAACGTTTTAAAAAAGTTTATGAATTTGTGTTGGGGGGCATTCAAAGCAGTCGTAGGCCACATATGACCCACAGGCCACCCGCTGAACAAGCTTATTTTAAGATTTACATGCATTAACAAGTTTAATTTTAACCAAAATTGGTTGTTTTATACTTTCCATTTTTTTTTCTTCATCTTGTTACTTTATCCGTGGTCTCCAGGATAAACTCTGAAGAGTTTTATTGGCAATGGGCATTCTTGCTTGTTCCTGAATTTAACAGAAATATTTTTATTTATATTATTTTATTATTTGTATTGCTTATTACTACAAATTTTGGGGGGGATTCTTTACTCAGAAACCAATTTGAATCTTTTCAACAATTATGCAGGTTTTTTTTTTCATGTATCATTTTCATCCTTTCTTCTGTTAATGGTTCTTGCCATAGGATAAGTTTCCACAGATTTTACAGATTCTACATTTAGTCCAAACTTAACATTGGTATTCAAAATGAAACTCACCACAGACCTTTTATGTTTGTGTCACTCATGGTTCACCCAAAAATCGCAAGTATGCCAAAAACACACGGTAACTGTGGACCTCTTTGCTTATGGCTTTAATGTTTTCTCTTGCTATGCTGTCTGCAAACAACAGATCATAGAATGATAACAATTCATTGTAAAGTACCTTGGGTCTAGAGCCACGATGGTTATATCTACTTATTAATGACATATTGTTCATGCTTTGACCTTCTCGCATCTTAGCATGGTGGATGCTTTCTCATCCTTGTTTGATGAGGGACGGACTTGTATTTTTGCTCATCTCTGTAGGCTAGTTCTCTGTGTTCCCTCTCTTTTCTGTGCCACTGTCTTACAAATGACCTTATATCACAGTCTCTGTTTTTTATTTTGGAAAATGTCTTCAGCATTCACCAAAACCTTTAGAATTATTCTTACCTCTTTATTTGGTTTTTATATTTGATATCACCATTTTGTTTTTTAGAAATTGTACTTCAAAAATCTATTCTAAACATGGTCTTTCATTCTTATTCTTGCCTGACTTAACTAGTCCAGGCCCTGATTGTCTTTTGCCTGGACGACCACATATTTCTTGTATATCCACATTATCTTCTCCCACTCATTTCCCACTGCTTCCTGTATGTTCTCACCTTTGATTCTCCATGGCTAACTGGATCCATTCCAAAACATTCCCCTTGTTATAACAGATTCCTATCAATCTGGATCGTCATATGTATCCAGCCACGTGTTTTGACATTAATATAGGTTAATCGAGTATTTGAGACATTTAAAAGTTTGAGATGAGAGGGTGTATGATTTCAAGTTGTAAGAAGTCAGTAAAATAGCAACAGCAGTCACTGTTGTTATAACCCATCTTTAATTATCCTGCTAATGTGTTTAAATAGGAAATAATTATGGAATTGTAGGTATCCACTATACACTGAAAAGCCAAGCAAGTCATCACAATGTATGTGAAAGCTCTTGGCATATTTGTTTGTCATTTTTTTCTGTCAATTTTGCCATTTTAAATTATGTAAATTAATTTGCATCAACATGTTTACTTCATATCAGTCAGGAGATCCACATAGAGTTTACAATTATTTTAAATGTCTAATTTAGTTTTTCTTTAAAATAGAATATAATTGACATCTTTTATCTGCATCTTCCTATATGAATATTTTGTTCTCCCTTTAACCATATATTAGATAATTATTTTGGAAAGTTTAAAGGATACTCATTTCCCACTTGCAGACTATTTAATCAGATTCTCTGGAAATTTGGACATACATATTTTTTAAAAATTTACCTAAGCAATTAAAATTTGCAGCCATGGTTTGAAAAAAATGCTGGCTACTCTTTCTGTCTTCTCTTTTGGAAATCACTGCACCATCTGAACCTGCTCTTTGTGATATCACCAGCTGGCTGGCACACCTGTGATGGAAAAAGCAGCTGAGCATCTGACATGCTATTTGTTATTATTATATTTTTGTTCTGACTGTTCTCAGACTGACAGAAGCATTGAAAATTCAATGATATACTAGAAGAAATCTTTTTAGCATTTTTATATCAGATTGTCCTCACTTTCACTCTTTTTCCTTTGAAACCCATGAATATAAATTGAATATCAGATTCTCCACAGAAGAAAATAAAGCTATTGAGTTTTTATTGGTGGAGGTTAGCAGACACCATTAACTCATATTTCTTCAACCTAATTCTTCGTTACCAAATGAAACCACTGAAACCATCAATGCACAGGGTTCTATTAGATTCATGGCTTTGGAATTACTCCAAGGTGGTAAAAGTGAATGAGTGGCTATTATTTTATTACCTAATAGCTGACTGTAGACTCTAACAAAATCCACACTTGGCTCAGCACCCATCCTCTTATCCCATGTCTGCTTCACACTGCTTTTAACGTATGAAATATATCCCAGGAAGATATTGGCCTTGTTAAAATTGCATATAGTAAGATGTCCATTTACTATCCCGCGCCAGATGTCGTCTGTGATAGATATTATATACACAGACTAGATATTTACCCAGAACAGCACCTGAAGTAGCATGATTTTCTTTTACCTCCAGATTTAATAAGAATAATAAAATGCATAAGAAATGACTGGATACTTATTATGGAATACAAGGTATGCAGATTTTTATTATATGTTAACATCATCATAAATGTCTGCAATAACCAGAAAACAATAAAGAATATGTTAATAATTTAAACTTTCAATTTGTGTTTATATAACTTCTAAAAGAAGAAGAATTAAGAAAACCAAATTCCAAAGTCATCTTCTTTCATATTTTATTATTTTCTTTTCCTGCAATGTTGGCCTGCCTTGGGAAGTCACTTTTTCCTAGGCACTTATCTTAAATTTATTATTCTACACTTCTTCAAGTTCAAGTAGCTAAGGAGAGTGGAAAAGCTTATTTCTCCGTGGGATACATTATTTATAATAAACTATAAACTATGCAAATTTCCATGTGCTCACAGTATTTACTAGGAAGGAATTTCTTCCTCTTTCTGTCACTGGCTGAGGGAAGAATGACCTCAAACTATTCAGTACACTTCTCTATAGCACATTTTCTGTCAAGCTCCTCATTGGTAAAATAAAGGGTGGGATAGGTTAATAATCTCTACATCTCCTTCTAATTCAGAAACTCTGTAATTTTGTTGCTCTACAAAGATGAATTTAAAAGTAAAAACAAAATTCTAAAAGGAATTCTCTAAAGACATGTATGTATCCAGAAGTTAGTTACTCAGATGAAAAAGAATACAAATTTTAACCAGAAGGTATCTATGAAGCATAGTACTTTGTCTAATGATCTTTTTAGGTTAAGTGGAAGGAAAATATATCATATGCTGTGTTGTAAAGTTTTCAAACTCTTCCATTCATGTATCATGTGTCCCTCAATTTATTAAATGCATTTATTGGTAAAATGCATGAGTTTCTACTTGTATTTAAAAGTATGTGACATAAAGTATCATAACTAAGAAAGAAAAAGAGAAATTTGTTCTTTATGATTCAGAATCCTGCAAGAATTCCAGCCTGGCATTTGGGAGCTCAGGTTGTCATCAGGCCACTGAAAGTAAACTCTTTATCCTTGAGTGACTCATCTGTGAATGGGGGAAATCAGAAGAGTACCTCTGCCTCTCTTTATCCTTTCTTTTATCTGCCACCACGCAGTCCATGCTGCCACATCCCTCACCAGGAATATTGCATGAGTCTCCTAACTCTTCCTTTTCCTCTTCTGTTACCATCTGATTTATTCTGGTTATTCTTGATAAATGCAAATTTAATAGTGTTGCTTTCTACCTAAAGCATTTAAAGGGCTTTTCAATTTAATAAATAACATAAAACTTAAACTCCTTGTAATGTGCTCAAACTATTTTACGAATTGTTTCTTACCCATTGCCAATGTCATGCAACTCTGACTCACTGCTAGCTAGCTTCATTGGTAGTGAATGAGACCTTGCACACATGAGGCTCATTTGATTTTCTGTCTTCCTGGAATTATCTCCCCTGGGCTTGTCCAGTGGCTGAATTATTCTCATCCTTCAGGTTTCCTTCAAAGGATACCTCCACAGATGGGCTTTTTGAGTTGACTTTACATTCGACTTTTTACAAGTCTTCTCTGTCACATTATTATGTTTATGCTTTTTATAGCATTTATCACAAATAAAAATGTGCATGTATTTTTTGTTTTGCTTATAATCTTTTTGTATCCCTAGAATGCAAACTCTATGGGGACATAGACCTTATTGTCTAATTCCCACTGTGTCTCAGTGCAAGTGTTATATACAGGGACCACACTCAGTACAATACTATTTGCAAAGTAGAGATATTTAATAAATATACGGTCAAAATATTAATTTTAGAAAACAATAAAAAGGGTATCTTTTTAAATAAAAATATACCAATGGATGATTATAAATAATACAGCTCTGTCTTTAAAAATCCTATAATTTCTTTCTCTTTTTTTGTGCAGATAAGTAGCTCAAAGTATTAAAAATACTTACAAGTATTTTTGCTTGTAAAAAGTTGCTTTATAAGTGCTCTAGGTGCTTGGATGAGGTAGGCCTTTATTTTAAATTTGAATGATCAATAATATATAAAAACTCTTCAAATCATAAAGGCAGTATAAATATTGAATAAAGCTAATGAATAGTTTCCATGGTCAGTTTAAATGTTTGTTGTTTCCTTTAAAACATTTTTCAGATAGTGTTTAATGCTGTGAACTGTTCAACAGTGAAATTAAAACAAAATATCAGCGATTTGAAAATGTCTTTATCAAATATTTACTTTTATTTGAATTTCTTGATGTATGTTTGTTTTGTTTTGCATATTTTAAGTTAAAAGTTGAGTAAAAATTTACAATTTTATTCTATTATTAACACCTTAATCCACACAGAGCAATGCTGGGACTAGAATGAGTCAAGCTAGGTGCTTAAGGAGACACTCGCTCTCAGTGTTTTGTGTGCACAGGTCAGCAGCTGAGAGTGATAGCCTCCTTAAATTCTGTCTGCTTGGTGCCTGGCTTGCTATAACCTAGCCCTAGCCTCTATTCACAGTTACAAAGACAGGAACATGGAGGCCATGCCTTGCCAAAGTGAGCTCATTCACCTAATTGTGAGTAGCCACAGGGTAAATTATCTGTGTAACTCTGTTCTATTAGAGTGATTTAGCAAAATAAAATGTTTTTGGTTTTTAATTAGCTTTTGTTTTTAATTTTTAATTTTGTTTTTAATTAGCTGCATCCCCAAAAGGAAAGAATTAGTGTCTTATTTTAAATATTTTTATGATAGATCATAAGAACTATCAACTTTTTGTATCAGAAAGTCAGGTGTGTTACTCGACTATGTCATCTGCTATATCTGTGCACATATTGTTTCAATTTATCCCCATAAATTATACTCTATAAAAGCACATTCTATTTTGTTGTTTTATGTGAACTGTTTTAGGAAATGGTATTCCTTGCATTTACCTAAATAAGCATAGCATCCAAAAATAACAAAAATTGAAAGATAATTCAATACATTTAGCTTGTCAATTTCAGTTTGTGAAGTTTCATATAATCTCAGTCTCCAAATAACTCATCAAGAAGAATGAATTAAAAATTTTGAATTCTTCTGTGTACCTTATTCTCAGAAAATTATAGTATTTGTATTTCACAACAGCTTTCTCAATGAACCTCCTTATTGTCATGCAGGATGATAGGATTCAAGGGATAAGTATGTTTTTTTTTTTCTTCATAGTGTGTGATTCTTCTTGGTTTTCCAACCTAATTTCTGAACCAATTGAGAGATACAAAAAAGTAAACATATAGAAATAAAAATGGCATGTTTTATTATTAACTGAGCCAATGGGGAATGCGCCTTCGAAGTAGCAAAAAAAGGCTTCCATATAACTGCATCCTAGATGTGGAGACTTCTCTATTCTCTCCTAGTCAGTGGAGATTCACAATCATGTCAGGGTCTTTATTGCTGAGATAACCACATGGATTAGAATGGAATAGGGAACGTCGGCAGTCAGGAGCTTATAAGAGATACTAGAAAGGACTGAGCGTCACTTATCCCGTTCCTTGTCCCAAGCCACAAGTAAAATGAATCACTTTTTGTTCCTATAGTGAAAAGAGTGGAGAGAGAGAAGGAAGCCTAGGGTGTTATTGTAATGGGAATTGCTCAATTTAGAAACAGGATGAGTGGAGTACAATAAAAACTGAGACTGACTATGCTATACTTGGGCCATACTTATTCTTAATAAAATGTGGCTTATCTGAAATTCAAATTTGAACTGGGCATCTTGCATTTTTATTTCTTAAATCTGACAACGCTGAATGGAGAATAACTGTTCCCCCAATGTCCCCTCAGTTTCACCCTTCAGATGATTCTCTAAATTTATTTTCCTTATTTTTTGTAATTTTGTAATTTTTAATTTTTGTGGATACATAGTAGGTGCATATATTTGCAGGGTACATGAGAGGTTTTGATACAGGCATGCAATGTGAAATAATCATATCATGGATAGTGAGATCTTATTAGTGTTCTTTTTTTTTTTAATTGGAAACACCAGAAGAAACTTTAATGGTACTGAGAATTATATTTTATGGCACTGGATCGAAAGGTCTCTATAATGTCTTTTGATTCTATAAAGTTAGGGATCTGAAGTAGTTAGGGCTGGCATAATTAAGCAGCAGGGTGGGTCCTCAGAGTGCCACAAGTCACAAACAGGAAGAAAGTATACGCCAGGGCAGTTTCACGATCTTCAAAATGCTGTTCTGTTTGGTTAAGTTCATGAGGACCTAAGCTGAAAGAGACTGTCAACATATATTTTGTTTTCTCCCAATTCCTTATATTGCAGATGTGATAACTAAGTTCAGAAATTTTCTTTTCTAAAATCATACAGCCAGTTAAATGAAAAGCTAGGGTTGAACAGTCAGACCTTCAGTATACTGATCCAATTTTCTTTTTGCTCCTCCATGGAGTTTTTTTTCCACCTCTCACTCCTTGCCTTGGCTGCTAAGAACAGTACGTGTGACTATGCTGCAGTTCCTAAGTTCTACTTATTATGCCTACACATTTTTCTAGCAATAACTACCCCTAATAGACCTTGCAGAGCACCCAAATTGAAAATACCCATTTTTCATTAATAGATTAAGCAAAAGCTGCTAAATAATGATGATGGCAATAATTACATAAAGGGTCTAAATACAAAATAAATTTTGAATCAGATTAGAATGCAGAGGAAAATTCAATTTTCCAATTTCCACTGCCAAGAAGAGAAACTGCTGCCTGGTGGAATTCAATACAGGTCTGTATGTTTAACTGAGCAAATGAGCCCTGCATGCCATAACTAAAAATAATACAAATGCAGGACATAAGCATCGACACAAGCGACTTCATTTGCCATTGGTGTCTCTGTGCATTTGTGCTTCTTGTCTTTGTAATATAAGTGACTTGTCACTCTACTATGATTGGGCAGAAATATTAAATATGCTTTTGCTCAATTCTGAATGATCTTATGAATATAATCCTGTACTCCCTTACTTTAGAAACTCCTTAATTAACTCTCAATTTTTTTGTATGATAAAAAGCTTCTCCTCTATTATGATATAGTAGGCTCTACCTGCATTTTTTTCAGTTTAACTCTTTCATGTCCCCATCATCATATTCTATGCTCCAGTGAGAACCTGCTCCAGTCAGAATGAATACTTTCCTGAATGTAATAGGCTTTTCCATGTGGGTGGATTGATGGATACAAAGAAAATAAAGTAATATACCTATTGAAGCAACCCCAAGCTAGTTCTAATTGATGGAAGTGGTATATAAACTACATTTGGAAAAATACTAGGCAGATAAAATATAAACTTCCTGTAGCCCTCTCTTATCCAGTTGACTGCTCCCTTCACTTTTAATGCTCCAATGTTTAGTCCTTCTTGCAAACAGAAAGAAGGTAAAATGCAAACATCTGATTACAATTCGTGTGAATCTTATTGAGATAACGTTGACCTATCAAGTTCTCCCTTTGTGTGTCTGACATTCTGAATGTATGCTACCTCATTACCTAGAATGTTATACCATTATCTGGAAGGTAAGCAATATTACAACCATTTACAAATGAGAAAACTGAGGCTCAGAGAGATTAAATAACTTGTCTCAAGTTTCACATCCAGATATCATTAAATATCTGTTTGATGCCAGATATCACTAAATACCTCAGTTTATAATTATACTGCAGACCAGAGACTGGTTTTGTCACCATGGCCATTAATGCTGCTTCGTAGATATTTGAATAGGGTTATGTTTCATTTCTTGAGAACAAAATGGGATCCTTTTGAGCTACTTTTTTTTACAAGTCTATATGTGTTGTTTTAAAAATCCTGTGAAAGCTCATACAAGATAAATATAGTATAAATATAAAGTAGATAAATAAAGTAGTAGTAAGTTGTAGTAACGTTTTGTCTCAAATCTTATATCGCATAGCTCTGTGGCCTAAAACAATTATGGCACTAATATCTCTAGGTATCTGTTTTAATATCAGGAAAGGCACTTATGTATTTGAGAAAGATTTTTTCTCTTGAGGTAATGATTATTGCTCTACATTTCACACAGACTACATATTCTGGATATTATGGATTAACCTCATTTTTTATAAGTTTCATGCCTAGTCTGGAATTTTTATTGATATTTTTGGACATCAATCAGTCTTTCTCTAGATTTTGAATCCTTTTAGAAATATACACTGGAGACTGATAGGAATTAAACCTTCTATCTGTTTTACCCTGACAAATCTGGATTACAGAATAAGGATTACATCCAAGACCAAAATAGACTTCTTGCATCACTCCCCAGATCCACAACTTTGGGGCCATACATCGTAAGTGTTGTGTCAGCAGCATATTTGTTTATTAAAATTTTCTTCCAATATTTCTTGAGTGTCTCCTATGTGCCTGTGACTACCTAGGTACTATTTATACCACAAAAGAGACAAAATCAACCATGCTGTTATAGACCCTCTATTCTTAAAGGTATTGGCCTAGACTTCAGATGAACCTACAATATGAATTCAATAAGTAGAATGCATGCTGTGACCCCACCATGCCCACTGTATGGAAACAGGTTCAGAGAATACAAAATGAGAGCCTGCCCCGTTTAAAGTTCTGCTCTTCAAGGAGATTCAGAGGAGGTTGGAATACTCATCCCCACTTCATAGAGAACCAGGTCTCAATGGATGTTTGCCTTTCATGTCTACCAGTACAGAAAATTTCAGGGATTTCTTATACTCCACAAAAAGAAAAAAAAAAGTTAGGAGATGTTATAGTTGACTTTGAAATAAGTTTCAGAGGAAAGAAACTGCTTCATCCATTACTGTTCCCCAAATGTATGTTCTTTTAACCCACCGAGTTTATCAAATAAACTCATGGTCAACCAGTGAGTTCCTCTGGAGGAGGAAACAACTAAGTGTCGGGGCAAGTTCAGCTTTTATTACCAGAGGACTCTGACAGAAGTTCGGAACACAGCATTAGTAAAATGTACTTCCAGGCATACTGTGCCTGAAGTCAAGCATTCTCTCCCTGTCCTTTCTTCTCCCCATTAAAGAATGTAAAGCAATCGAGTGGATCTAGTCATTATTAAATTTCTCATTGCTATAAATAACACAGACATAATTAATATATTTAAAGAATATTATAAAACCATTACATCAATAAATTAGAAGATATATGAAAGAAATTACCTTAAAACAATATAATATAAATGATAACATTTCAATTTCAACTCAAAAATTAATATACAGTCTTAGCATGATAATCTTTGGAAAAAACCTGAATGAACAGTTGAAAGTTTTGCCAGGTAGAAAACTCAAAGCCTGCATATTTTTGTCAGAAATTCTATCAAAAATTTAAAAATACTTATAGGTTCATATAAACATTTTCAGTGGGATAATATTTCTTATCTCAATTTACATTATTTATACATTGCCTTTATACCAAACCCCATAAGAACAAGAAAAATGAAATTTTACTGGTCAAAGTTACCATTTAACCTACAGGCAAAAATCCAAAATAAAATGTTGATAAGACAAATCAAAGTATTCGTCTGTCTACTATCTATTGGTCCAATTAATAATGAGGGTTTACCCCAAAATCCAAGTTTGATTTAGCATTAGAAAAATCTATTAACACAATTCCTACAGATGCAGATTAATACAAAAACATAATTTTATCTCAATAGTTGCAGAAAAGCATTTTTAAAAATTCAACAATGACTCGTATTAAAAATTATTAGCTAACTAGGAATGAAGATGTGAAGATTAAGTGTCAATTTACCTAAGCTATGGTGTCTGGAAGTCTGGTCAAAAACAGGTCTAGATGTTGCTGTAAAGGTTGTTTGTTTATTTTAGATGTGATTAACATTCACATCAGTAAAATTTGAGTAAAGCGTACCCTCTATAATGTGGATGGAGCTCATCCAATCAGTAGCAGGTCTTAAGAGAAAAAGGCTGAAGTCCCACAGTGGAGAGAAAATTTTGCCTCCAGACTTGAAATACAACATCAGCTCTTTCCTGGGTCTCTAGCCTGTGGGCCTGCCCTATTGGAATCACCAAGCCTCAGAATCACATGGGTTAATTATTTAAAATCTATTTCTCTCTCACTGTTTCTCTCTGTCTCCCTCTCTCTCTCTGTCTCTCTCTCTCTCTCTCTCTCTATATATATATATATGTGTGTGTGTGAGATTTATAGTTAAACACAAAATGTTATATTTAAATGTGAAATATTGAAATCTTTGGTCCTAGGTAAAATGGGAAATCATAAATGAGTGAATAAACAAATGGTATAAGAATTGTTACCATTTCTGATGATATAAATAACTATTACAGAGTATATGATTTCTATATAGATTTTAATTTCAATTTAAACATGTATTATTATCAATCTAGCAGACTAATAGATAACTAAAAATTAAATCTATATTCACACAGTAGTAATAATTAAAAAACAAATTTTAAAAATTACAATTTCATAAAAGAGTATGAAGAAATAAGAGACAAATGAGACACTCATAGAGAAAATTCTAGTAGTTAATTTATGGGCAAAAGGAAAACCCAAGTGAAGTGATAAACAAGCCAAGATTTTGGATTGGATATAGTGTTAAAATATCTTTCACCCTGGTATAGATGCATCAGTTCTCTCTCTATTAAAATATCAGCAAAGTTTTCAATAATTTGACAACCTAATTAGAAACCTCCTATGGCCACCCTTTTTAGAATTCAAACCTTTGTACCATACCATCTAAATCCCACATGCCCTTGTCTATAAATTGCATAGCCCTCTTTACCTTCCAGTATTCTTTATGATATTTTATTTCCTGGTTTTTTTTTGTACATATTCTTTCCTACACACATTAGAATGTAAGCTCCACAAGGATAGGAAGCTTTGTCTGTTTTGTAGCATGATACAGCCAAGTGCCTGCTGAATAGTCAGTGATTGGTAATTATTTGTTGGATGATGTTTAAAATCACTGTAAAAATAGAGTTGGAAAATAATAGCAAATTGAATAAATAATAATTATGAAAGAACATATTTTTCTATATAAATTTTTATTTCAATTTAAACATTACAATTCTTAATAATCTAGCAAGACTGATAGATAATTAAAAATTAAATATTTATTCACATGGTAGCAATAATTATAAAACAATTTAAAAAATTGCAATCTCATAAAAATGGTACATAGGAATAAAAGACAAGTAAAACCCTCACAGAGAAAATTATCTGTGAATAAAAATTTAGGGCTGGGTTGGTGGATCACACCTGTAATCCCAGCACTGTGGGAGGCTGAGGCAGGCAGATCACCTGAGGTCAGGAGTTCAAAACCAGCCTGGCCAATATGGTGAACCCCGTGTCTACTAAAACTACAGAAAAATTAGCTGAGCATGGTGGTGGGCACCTGTAACCTCAGCTACTCAGGAGGCTAAGGCAGTAGAATCGCTTGAACCTGGGAGGTGGACGTTGCAGTGAGCCGAGATTAAGCCATTGCACTCCAGCCTGGACAAAAGCAAAACTCTGTCTCAAAAAAAAAAAAAATTAAAAGATACCCTCAAGATTTAAAAGATTATATTAATTAGGTGTATTAGTCTGTTCTAACACTGCTATAAAGAACTACCTGAGACTGGGTAATTTATGAAGAAAAGAGGGTTAATTGGCTAACAGTTCTGCAGGCTATACAGGAAGCATGACTGGGAGGCCTCGGGAAACTTACAATCATGGCAGAAAGCAAAGGGGAAGCAAGCATGTCTTCACATGGCCAGGCAGGAAAGAAAGAGTGAAGGGGGAAGTGGTACACACTTTTAAACAACCAGATCTCGTGAGAACTCACTCACTATCATGAAGACAAAAAGGGGGGAATCTTCCACTATGATCCAATCACCTCCTACCAGTCCCTGCCCCAACACTGGGGATTACAATTCAACGTGAGATTTGGGTGGGGAAACAGAGCCAAAAACCATATCATTAGGATAGTGAAGTTTTTGCACAGGTAGAAATAAACAAAGTAATTGAAGGTAAAGGAGATGCTAGAAACAGATTCAATTTATGCATGTATGTGCACCCCTCATGTATTACAGAAGTGTCATCATAGAGCATCAGGGGAAAGAATGGTCTTTACAATAAATGGAGCTGGAACAACAAATTATCCCATACCCCAAGTTATGTTTGTGTGGCAAAACTATCAGAGAAACAACTATGTGAGGTGATGGATATGTTAATTAGCTTGATTGGGTGATCATTTCCCAATGTATACATGCATTAAAACATCAGTTGGTACATCTTAAACATATACAATTCCTATCTATCAGGCATACCTTAATAAAGCTGAAAAAAGAGAAAATCTACTGGGTTATATACTGCATATATTTGTAATGGCAAAGGACTGGTTTCATAATTATATACATTATTTTATTAATCAATACAAAGAAAGGCAGAAAAACCAATAGAAAAATAGGCAAACATCTTTAGCAGATATTTTATCCAAATAATCAATAAACATGAAAAGCTGTTCAGCTTCATTATTAATCAGGGAACTGCAAATTAGAACCACAATAAGATAAAATTATCTTCTCAGCATACTTGCAAAAATTAAAACAGTCTTATACTACCATGTATTGCTCAGAATGTGTAGTAATAGAAACTCTCATATAATGCCTCTGGGAATGTAGTTTCATATAGTCACTTAATAAAATGGCATTATCTACTGAGTGGGAAGGTTTGCATAGTCTGTGATAAGTTGATTCCACTTCTAAATAAATATTCAGCGAATGGGTGCCCACATGGAATTATTAGTATGTAATAACACCAAACTAGAAATAACCCAATGTCCATCACCAGTAGAAAAGACAAACTCTTACGTATTTATGCAATGAGCTATCATCCAGTGATATAAAAGAATGAACTGCACTACATAAAAAAATCTAGACAGATTTTATAAACATGAGGCTGTCTAAAAGAGGCAAGAATCAAGAGAACACATACTTTATTTCATTTATGTAAGGTTAAAAAATAAAAATAAAATCACATACATACATATAAATATAAAATCAGTGCCTTGAAGTAATGCATACTTCAATATATGAATATGTTTATTTACTTATACATAATATTTAATTGTAAATATTTACCTATATCAATATTAATATAGATATGCATGTACATATTATAGGATAAGGAGGGGAATGTGATCAGAAGGGACACATGGAGGAATACTGGGCACTACTAATATACTCCTACTCCCTCTCAGTGGTGGCTACATAGCACCCACTTTATTTCTATGCATTTAATTCAGCATTTTTTCTCTTTTCTATGTGTATGTTATATTTTTAAATTAAAAATAAATGGAAAAAGCAGCCAGGAGCAGTGGCTCACGCTTGTAATCCCAGCACTTTGGGAGGCCGAGGCGGGTGGATCACCTGAGATCAGGAGTTGGAGACCAGCCTGGCCAACCTGGTGAAACCCCCGTCTCTGCTAAAAACACAAAAATTAGCTGGGTGTGGTGGCATGTGCCTGTAATGCCAGCTACTGTGGAGGCTGAGGCAGGAGAATTCCTTAGAACCTGGGAGGCAGAGGTTGCAGTGAGATCGCTCCGCTGCACTCCAGCCTGGGTGACAGAGTGAGATTCTGTCTCAAAAAAAAAAAAAAAAAAAAAAAATGGAAAAACCAAAAGAGGTTTAACATTACTACTTAGGAAAACACAATTTGGTATCATAGGGAAATACATTTATACCAAGAAATAAATAAAATATATATTTAAGCTCATGCTGGACAAACGATACTGGAAAGAACATGGAGTGACAGGAACACGTGGAGACTATTGGCAGTTGCACAGATATTGTGTTTGCCTTCTATAAAGTCTATTCTGGCATAAGTGTGAGGGATGAAACTATTCAGTAGAGAACCTGAAATGTTCTACTTATACCTCTTTGTGTCTAAGCTTGACACCTTAATACCTTGTTCTTCCAATATGTAATACTATTCCCCTTAATGTTTTCATATTAATAAATATTGAGATTTGACTAGAAAAATAAAATCACACATATGCATAGTATTATGTAGAGAGAGATACAGAAGTGTGACATTGTGTTTATACTCCCAATTATTCATCAAATATTAATCAGCCTGTGCTTTTGTTCCATCAAACTGGTAAGTGCTTGAGGGTATAAACTAAATTGGATACCATTTCTCAGTTAGAAGAGTTTCTGGCAAGATTTTTTTAAAAAAAGCAAAACAAGGATACTCTAAACATTTGAAACCACACATGAAGGTAGACACAATTTGGATCTGAATGTGGACATGTCTAATAGAGCATTTCTCTATGTGGTGAGTTAAATAACAATATCCAGTTAACTACATAGAACGAGGTTCAAAGTACAGATCTTGTCATGTAATGTGAGTGACTCACAATGCCTCGAGTATGGAATAAGAAAGAGAGAATTGCAAAAAAAATTATAGATTTAGATGAGATTTTGCTAATGTTTTTGAACTTTTTCTTCCTTTATGTGAATTGTGAATTATAAAAAAAAAGAATGTTCTTACTTAGTCATTGATCACTTCATCCTTCATACATATATATATATATATATGCATGTACACATACAAAAGAATTAGAACAAGGATTAATTTCTAATAGCAATGTGTCTCCTTTAGCTATTCTCATTGGTTCTAGTAGCCTGGAATAGCATAGCTCCGTGCATGCAATATATGATCAATAGATGTCTGCCCAGTTGTTGAATTATTTTATATTAAAAAAGCAGGTGAGTAGGAAACTCCATATTTCTCTTTAAAAACTAAGTATAACAAGTTGTTTTGTCATTTCACACTTCAATGGATGTTTTTCCCTCATGAATTAGTGACCGACATAAATAAAACTTTCTAGTCCCTGTTTTAGAACATATAAATTCAAGAAGAGAAGAGAAGAGATCTATATATGATGCCCCTAAGAGTTTGTATTGATTGCAACTTCACAGGTCAACTATTATTATCACAAATAGAGCTATGATAGAGCAGCCTCAGCCACAATATTCATTCGTATTTGTTCATTCACCTAACATTTATGGAGCACCTACTTTGAGCCACGCCAACTTAAGTGACCACAGCCTTAATTAACTGAAGGGCAGGGGCAAATTTACAGACGGTTGCACTATAGCCATGATGCAAGAATCTGCTTTACCAGACACAAAGATAAAAAAGAACAGTAATTCCACAAATGCAATGAAATATTTGTCAGTTATTTCTCAGACTTTGCTAACACCGGGACAAAAGAAAGATGATAATAATCACAGGGTCGGTGCTCCTTGGATCGCCCACAGGAGCTGGTCAAGTTCTTTCTTGTATCTCAAAAGCACAGGAATATGGCTTTGACTTTGCAATATCCATCTATTCTCTGTCCCTTGGACTTTTCATTGCAATGTTGAATAATTATACCAATGAATCTAGGAGTCAGTGTCAAACCTTGCCCATATATACTCTGAAACACTAGTTTTGCACAAATGTCCTTCCCTTCTAATTCTGTACTTGTCTTACAGATTGTTTTTTCCAATGCTTTATTTACTCTACAGCAAGCTAGCTACTTTTCCTGAGGCAAGGAACTTCTGTGGCCATAACTTTTCTATTTTTTACTTTCTTCTCACTTTACAGAGGCAAAAATATCTTTAAAAAAATTAAATAAAAATTGTCACTCACAGGTTTTAAAACTCCGGAAAAGAATACAAAGCTCTTGTGTTTAGAGAAGAAAAATTTTCTTTGTTCCTGATGAGAAGTAAAGAGAGGAGGAGTAGCTGGGGTACAGATAGTACAAGAGTTGTGAGATGCTGCTATGAGATCTTGTCCTTAAGGTTAATAGTCTCATAAATTTATTAGTGTGAGTGGATTCTTGAAAGAGTTTATGTTTGCATTTTGATAAACAGAGGCAGCCTGCAAAGAAGACACAAAACATGAATTTTCAAGATCTAAGAATCGGGAAAACTTGTAAAAAACTCTTAAGTCTTTCAAGCTATGAAATGCTTTAGTGTTTAAGGCAATTATACTTAAATCATCCAGGATGGTAAAAGAATCCCAAAAGATTTTAATTTAACATCACTTTAACAAATATTAAGAAAATAATAATGAATACAATATATTAAGTTTCTTCCCCAGTGTGGTTTAATGAGTGGTCAAAGAGACAAAAACAAACAAACAAAAACAAAAGAAAAAAGGAAAAAGAAAAGTAGCAGATAATATGTAATTGTACAAATTGAAAGCAATTGTACAGATTGAAAACAATTGTATATAAAGGGTATTATTTGCAGGGAATAAACAATAGAAAAATTGGGTTACAATTAATATTTCTTGAAAGTATACCATGTGCAAGCCTTAGGTAAAACATGTGAATGTTTATGAGGTTTTAATTGTTCCCATAAAATGTAGTCTTGTGTGTTCTCATCATGTATACAAATAACCTCTGCCTTAAAGAGGTTCTGTGTTAAAGAACACAGTCTTGTGAGATGGTAGCATTTCCTGGACCATTGTGTTTGGGGGCCAACTAAACCAGGGGATGTTTCTTATCTTCTCTGAGTTCAGGCCTAGTTAGGGCCAGTTAAGCTCCTCTTGATCCTATACTTACTTCTGGAAGCTGAATCCCTGTGTCCTGTTGCCTTTGGTCAACCCCTCTTCAGAACTGCATTAACAGATCAACTCAAGACTTAAAATGCTCCAGGTTGATTGCTCTGCACTTCTTAACTCCAGGCTTCCCGCTGAAATAAAGTTCATTAGAACCAGATTAGAGCTTAACCAACTCCCTCCCTCCCTTTCTCCCTCCCTCCCTCCCTTCCTTCCTCCCTTCCTTCCTCCCTCCCTCCCACCCTCCCTTCTTCCTCCCTTCCTCCCTCCCTTCCTTCCTCCCTCCCTCCCTTCTTCCTTCCTCCCTCCATTCTTCATGCCTCCCTCCGTTCTTCCTTCCTCCCTCCCTGCCTTCTTCCTTCCTTCCTTCCTCCCTCCCTTCCTTCCTTCCTCCCTCACTTCCTCCCTCCCTTTCTTCCTTCCCTCCCTTCCTTCTTCCTTCCTTCCTCCCTCCCTTTCTTCCCTCCCTCCCTCCCTTCTTCCTTCCTTCCTTCCTCCCTCCCTCCCTCCCTTCTTCCTTCCTTCCTCCCTCCCTCCCCTCTCTTCTTCCTTCCTTCCTTCCTCTTTTCCTTCCTTCTTTCCTTCCTTCCTCATTTAAATCATATGATAATGGAATTTACATTATGATATGATTGCTAAAATTACTTGAGCATATTAAAGGTAATATTTAAGGGGAAAAATAATTAAATAGGAAAAATTACTGAAGGAAACTAAAAATATTTTACCCTACTTTGGGAGGCTGAGGCGGGCGGATCACGAGGTCAAGAGATCAGGACCATTCTGGCCAACGTGGTGAAACCCCGTCTCTAATAAGAATACAAAAAAAAAAAAATTAGCAGGGCGTGATAGTGCGTGCCTGTAGTCCCAGCTACTCAGGAGGCTGAGTCAGGAGAACTGCTTGAACCTGGGAGGTGGAGGTTGCAGTGAGCCGAGATCACACCACTGCACTCCAGCTTGGTGGCACTGAGACTCCATCTCAAAAAAAAAAAAAAATTGCCCCCATATATACTTATTTGACTTATTTCAAGATGGCTATTCAGCGGGGCTAGGAACATAGGAATAGCTAAAATGCTGTCATTTTTGGGGGGCGGATTTGCACATGTAGAGGAGATAAAGTGAAATAAACAACAGATGCACACAGGCTTTTTGCGAAGCCCTCCCTTACTCATAACTAGGAAAGATTAACAGAGTCAGAAACCTTTAAAGCTCTGACAGGAACATTGCCCACTGGCTACCATCTATTCCTTCTGAGGGCTGCTGCCTGACAGGTTTCATCTGCACAACATGACCACCTTTTCCCTGGGCCTTTCTTCTCCTCTCTGTCCCATAACCTGTTTGGCCATGTCCTGAGCTCTTATTCTTTTGTAACCTCAAGTTGGTGTAAAAGCATCAATTGTCTGGCCATTTATTTGAGCTTTTAATATTAGTATGCCTCCCATGCCCATATGCACATTAATATATTTGTATATGTTTTCTTCTGTTAATCTACCTTTTGTCAGTTGATTTTCAGTGAACCTGTTTTTCTCCCCTACACTACCATTGATTTTCAGCAAAGTTTTCTTTTGCCCCTATACTACTGAGGAAAATAATCAGAAACACATAAAAGTTACTTCATATTTATTTATAAACTTAATATAAAATGTGTATCTCCAGAAATAAAAAAATGGCTGAATAAGTTACACTAAAACCATATAGTGGAACTGTTGAAAATAAGTATTTAAAATTTTTTTGAGGTCACCAGAAAATGTATATAATATGCAAGTAAGTAAAAAATATGGAACATAAAACTAAGTGCGCAGAGTGATAATTATTTACAGATAGAGATACAGATATAGATGTATATCTATCTAAGTAAAGAATTAAAAAAATAAACAGAAGGAAACATATCCAACTATTTAGAGTTTTTATCGCTAGAATGTAGATCATTTACTTTAAAAACATTTTTCCACAATATGTGTTTTTAAATTTTTAATTGAAAACATTGTATCCACACCATTAAATAATGTTACCAGAAAATTAATTATGTCATATAAGAAGATATTTTTAATTTATAATAGACAAGATAGCTCAATGCTGCTTTTATTTATTCTTTTTTCCCCAAAATTAATAGTGTTACTAGAGACCAAACACCTTCTCAGCCTCAGGGACAGCCCTTGAAACTAATATATTGCCTGCTAGTCTGGTGTTCTGTGTTTTCAACAAATGTAGACCAAATAATATATTTGATGAGATTGTTCGCAACTCATGGGTTAGGTTACTGTCGTATCCATCTTTGTACCCCTATTTATTGCTCAATATAGGAGTCAGCAAATTTCTAATAAACATAAATTGTCAGGGATGGGACTAAGTTTTTTTTTCTCTCTTTTGAATTTCTTCTTATACAGCTAACATAGTCCTTTGTATAGAGAAATAATCAAAAACTATACTTATTTGTGGGAGCTAAAAATTAAGTCCATGGAACTCATAGAGATACACAGCAGACTGATGGTTACCAGAGGCTGGAAAGGGTAGTGGGGGTGGGGTGGAGAAGTGGAATTGTTAATGGGTACAAAAAATAGAAAGAATGAATGAGACCTAGTATTTGATGGCACAACAGGGTGATTATAGTCAATAATAATTTAATTTTACATTATAGAATAACTAAAAGACTATAATTGAATTGTTTATAACACAAAGAATAAAAACTTAAGGCAATGGATACACCATTTACCATGATGTCATTATCAAAATATCTCATGCACTCTGTAAATATGTACACCTACTATGCACCTACAAAAATTAAAAATTAAAAAGAAGGAAACTGTTGTCATGTTTCACTTAAGAAGGGTGTAGTTCTGAGAAATGTGTCTTAGGCAATTGCATCATTGCACAAACATCATATATTTAACTTTCACAAACCTAGATGGAACAGCCTCCTGCCAACTTAGGCTGTATGGAATAGCAGATCGCTCCTAGGGTATAAACCTGTACAACATGTTACTGTACTGAGTACTGTGGGCTTCGTAACACAATGGTAAGTACTTGAGTATCTAAACATATCTAAATATAGCATAGAAAAAGCACTGTAAAAATAGTTTTATAATCTTATGGGACCACAGTCATATATACAGTCTGCCATTGATGAAAACGTCATTATGCAGCACATGACTGTAGTTGCTAGATTAATGTGAGTTAAAGCTTAACATCATATTCATGCAAAACTAAATGCCACCCAACCTGTGATATTTACACAGAAAGTTAAAATCAGCATCAAAGATAGGCGTGCTGTGATGGGAGCTTGCTGCTCTGTTGGGTGGGTGCTGTAGGGTAAACCACAAGCTTTTTGTACTCAGAAAATAGCACTTTGACTGTTTTACCCCTTAGGGAATCTCTAATTTAATAAGGAGTTCTCAGTAAATACTAAATCAATTTATCTACCTATGTGTCTATCTATCTATCTATTTATCTATCTATTGTTATTTATTTCCCAAAGATGACCAGGCATTTCTTAGGTTTTTATCTGGAAGCAGATGGTGAGAGAATGAATCAATTCTTTAAGAGGAAGAGCAATAATTCAATGAGAAAAAGGAAAGAATTCTCTGTAGTCCTAAACACCTGGTCAGAAATGGATGTAATGGGGGAAAAAAAGAGTGCAGGCGTATGCAGGCCCAGGGACAACTCTGTGCTTTAGGGCTCTTGTTTTGAGTGTGAATGTGGTGAACTGGCAGAGAGGAGAGGCTGGTCCAGGCTCTTCATACTCTGTGTAAAATGTAAGACTTAAATACAGTAGGCCCTCATATCTAAGGGTTCTGCATCCACAGAATCAACCAGCCACAGATTGAAACTATTCAGAAAATTTAAAAATTCAAAGAATACAAATAAAGATTCAATACAGAATACCAACCATTTATGTGGCATTTATATTGTATTGCATATTGTAAGTAATCTAGAGATGACTTAAAGTATATGAGAATGTGCATAGGTTATATGCAAATATCATGCCATTGCCAATTTATGGAACAGATTTGTGCATTTGTAGATTTTTTTGAGGGAGAGGGTCATGAAACAATCTTCCTTCAATACCAAAGGATGAGTGTAGAGAAAACATTTTTAAAAAACAGTAAGAGTGTCTCAGATGTATTATTTAACTATTGATTGCCAATTTCTAACATATTATTAAAACTCCATAGAAGACATGTATCATTAACTTCAGAGAGGTTAAGGAACTGAGGCTCAGAGAGGTTAAGGGATTTGCCAAAGCCACAGTTTGAACGTAGCCTGTGCTCCTTTGTTTCCCAAAATCTCAAGTCTGGGAGTGAGGATAAGTCTGATAATGGATGAAGCAGCCAGGGTTGTGAAAGTGAGGAGCACCAGACAGCCCATAGTAGTAGGAGTAAAGCCTTTTTATCCAAAGCCAGATAAATCCACCTAGTCAGCCACTGACACAATCACCTGTGTTGCAACATCTCAGAATTTGTTGTGGATTAAATTCAAAGTGGAATGCCTGTTAAAAACACAGATATCTTTCTCTAATGTCTGATGATTATAATTTGTGCAGTTTGGGTACATATATTTTTAACTAACTCCCCAACTGGAAAGTGTAAAGAAAACAAATAGGCACAGTTTTCTGAAGTGAGAAGTCTTGTGAAGAAGACAGACTTTAAAATGCCTGAATTGAATGACATTACTACTTCTTCCATGCACTGCTAGATCATTTTAACCTCTCAGCATCGGTCTCCCATCTGTACAAGAGGAAAATAATACTAGTCTACTCTGTTTTGAGAAAAAAAAACGCAGCACTATATATATGATAAGAATTAATGAAAGACACATCATAATTTATATAGTATTTCTTATAAAATGTATTTTAATCATAAAAAGGTATCCAATGAATCTAAATTGTCATTCTGTAAAACCACAGAGTTATGTCCATAAAACAAAATTAAAATCATAAAAGACAACAAAAATCTTTGAATCGTTCCAGATTTAAAGGAGTATAAAATACATGCCAATAGGATACTTTGTGTCATCCTGGGTCGGAAATTCAACTAGGAAAAAAGTGCTATCAAAGAAATTTAGATGTGGATGGGAAAGCATCACCTCTGCCCTTGGAAAGTTCATTGTTAAAATGAACTGACAATAGATAGACTAGGAAGAGAAAAAGCATACAAGTGTATTAACATGCACAGGGACTTGGGAATCCCACAAATACGAGACTCCAAAGAGGGCCAGATAATTGAGGCTCAATCGTCCCCTTTCAAAGGGGAGAAGGAGGTGGGAGACTGTTGGCATTTTAGAGTGGTAGTACAGAATTTTATGGAAAATAAATGGGCCCAGGAGGCAGACATTATCCTGCACATGATTCTCTTAAGAAGCTTAATGGGAACAGGAAATTATTAGAAGGTAAGAGGTGAAACTGCATTGGGAATAAAAGTTGTCTTGTTGTGTAGATAAAGTATCCCGGGTAATTTCTGGAAGCGGCCCTCAGAAGAATACATGAAAAGTCTGTCTGGCACAGTGATGACTTTTAGTCTCTTCTCGTCATAGTCGCTGGTTTCAACTTTTTTGGTTATTTGATGAGACTCTTAGAGAAGAGTTCTAAAGACAATTGTATTTCTTTTGGAAAGAAATCTCCTTAGTCAGATAGGGAAACTCCAGACAAAGTCCCTCCCTGTGCTTGTGGGAAGAAGAAATAAGAGAAGGTTGGAAAGTTATTGGTTCTGAGGCAGCTTTTAAGCCCTTCAAATTTCTTTAAATTCAGTGTTGACCATGGTAAAATATCATACTTTGCGGTAACATTCTCTGCACCCCAATAGAAAGGAATGGTACAACTGGTGAAATTTGAATGTATATCACATTTAAAATTTAATGCTAACTCTGCTAATTTCCTAATTTTGGCATTTGTTCTGCAGTTATATAAGTGTGTTAATCAAGTGCAGGTCCCCTCAGATCTCCCTTCAAGGAAAGACTTGCTGCCCAGTCAGCAAGCAGACACCTCTAGTTATCAGCTTCTTCAAGCTGTACCTCAGCTGCTTAAAGCCACCTCACATAACATGAAGTTGTGTCCTTCTTGGAGAAGTCCAAATCCAGGGACTCAGACAGTGTGGGGATAAACACCTGTCCATTTAGCCCAAGGTACAGTACTCTGATGAGCAATCCTTGCACCAGAGCTGCCTGCAGACTGGCCAAGGCTGTCAAGCCAGTCTTTATCACAATTTGACTTTTGCCTCTGTCCAATCTTGCTTCCTCCCTCTTCCATTCACAGCTGATGATCCCTAATAAATCATGTCTCACACATCAAACTCTGTCTCAATGTTTGCTTCCAGATAACCCAACCTGTAAACTCAATGTGGAACACAGTTTGAGAAAAGAAGTGAGAAGATTCAATTTTGAAGTTGGATCACTCTCCTACAGGCAATGAAGACCACATCACTGATGGTAGGGTGAATGTTCTCGTACCTCACAAAGTGGCAGTCCACTTCTTAAAACATCCACTATGCATGGAGAAAACCATGGTGATAAGGATAATGGACTGGGTAGCCTGTGATTGGTGATACAGATGCTCTAGAGAAAGCTGATGCTGAGTAGCAGGTCAATGAAAACCAGGTGTGAAAGTAGCAGCATCTTGGTTGCATTTAAAACAGTTTTATCCTTGCAGTATAGTTTGAAGTGAGGTAGCATGATGCATCCAGCTTTGTTCTTTTTGCTTAGGATTGTCTTGGCTATAGGGGGACTTTAACTTCATATGAAACTTAAAATAGTTGTTTTCTAATTCTGTGAAGAATGTCAATGGCGGTTTCATGGGAGTAACATTGAATCTATAAATTACTTTAGGCAATATGTCCATTTTCATGATATTGATGCTTCCTATCCATAAAGATGAAATGTTTTTCCATTTGTTTGTGTCCTCTCTTATTTCCTTGAGCAGTGGTTCATAGTTCTTCTTGAAGAGGTCCCTCACATCCCTTGTTAGCTGTATTCCTGGGTATTTTATTGTCTTTGTAGAAATTGGAATGGGAGTTCATTCATGATTTACCTCTCTGCTTGCCTATTGCTTGTGTAAAGGAATGCTTGTAATTTTTGCACAATAGATTTTGTATCCTGAGACTTTGCTGAAGTTGCTTATCAGCTCAAGATGTTTTCGGGCTGAGATGATGGGGTTTTCTAAAAGTAAAATCATGTTGTCTGCAAACAGAGACAACTTGACTTCCTCTCTTCCTATTTGAATACTCTTTATTTCTTTCTCTTGCTTGATTGCCGTGGCCAGAACTTCCAATACTATGTTGAATAGGAGTGGTGAGACAGGGCATCCTTGTCTTGTACCAGTTTTCAAAGGGAATGCTTCCAGTTTTTGCACATTCAATATGATATTGGCTGTGGATTTATCATAAATAGCTCTTATTATTTTGAGATATGTTCCATCAATACCCTAGTTTATTGAGAGTTTTTAACATGAAGCGATGTTAAATTTTACCAAAAGCCTTTTCTCCATCTATTGAGATAATCATGTGGATTTTGTCTTCGGTTCTGTTTATGTGATCGATTACGTTTATTGATTTGTGTATGTTGAACCAGGCTTGCATCCCAGGGATGAAGCCAGCTTGGTCATGGTGGATAAGTTTTCTCATGTGCTGCTGGATTCAGTTTGCCAGTACTTTATTAAGGATTTTCACATTGATGTTCATCAGGGATATTGGCCTGAAATTTTCTTTTTTTGTTATGTCTCTTCCCAGTTTCGGTATCAGGATGATGCTGGCTTCATAAAATGAGTTAAGAAGAAATCGCTCCTTTTCAAATGTTTGGAATAGTTTCAGAAGGAATGGCACTAGCTCCTCTTTGGTACCAGGCTCATGGGGACTCAGCATCATGGGGTGTCTGTCCAGGTCAACCTGATGAGGGGTTTGCATAATTTTGCTTCCTCTTTCATCACTTGCAAAAAGATATAGAGATAGAGAATGCATAAAATATCTGGATTGGTGGCAAGTGTGAATGAAGGACATTACTTCTTCCATGTTTGGAGAGAAGGGAGGTGAGAGCTATGTCCCTGGTTCAGCCTGTCAGGTCCCAGTCTTAAAGGATGTGGTGTGATACACGTGACCAGAGTGCAGTTTGCTGCATTTCCATTCACAGGTGTGGCTGAAAATGAAGTGATGCCTTAATGTTTAATGGCCATTGCTCCTTGTTAATATATTTTCCTTGACAATGAGCCATGACTGGGCCAAGGTGGGATTTAGATATTCTTTGTTTTGCTTGCTGAAATGTCATATAATAAAACTTTATTCCCTTCCTCTAATGCATAACTCTTCCATACTCTTAAAGATGCAACACATTTGACATTGAGTCAGGCAAGCATTTATGTTCTTGGAGAAGTTGGGTGTTCAAAGGTTGTGGCTGCAGAGATTCAGAGAGCTTTAGTTTATACTCCCCCAAGAGCTGCATGTTAATTATGTAAAGACACTCCCAGCCTCAAACCCAACACCCAACCTCAAAATGACCATTATTAGGCAGAGTTTAGGGGCAGTTAAAGTTGCTTAAGAGATTGCTGCTAGGTTGTGGTTTTGCCAGTTTGAAAGCACCAAAACAGCATGGAATCCAAGGTAGGATCTAAAGTTTCTTCATCCATCTGTCGCTAATTAAAAAGAATGCCAAAGAATATATGGTCATGGAAGTATCAGGAAAGAAAATGAAGGAAAAGGAACATGCTAAATACAGATCTAAATAATACTGTTTTCAGTAAGTGGCTGACAAATTCTCCAAAGGTGAAGAATAATCTGAAACAAAGACCACCTTGAGTATGTCAGATAGTGCAGTTTTATTCCACTATATGTTTTAATAATATTTTCTTGGCACCTAGCACAGATGGTATCCTACAGAGACTCACCCACTAGATTGTTATCTGCCTTTCTCTGATTAAACACTAAACAAGTTTGTAAGGCCTGTGGATTAGCTATGTTTTCTTATTTTTACATTTTTGATGCTCTAGCATTTGGGCCCTTTAAATGCCTAGGGAACCACTTCTCTGGAGGTTAACTAATTCCTGGAAACGACAAACAACTTGCCTGCCACCACACATTTGATAAGCAAACCAACCAATCCAGAGGCCATACTTCTCACCAGTCTCCTTTTATCAGACTAGTACAGTCCATGGCACTATTCCCTGCCCTACTCACCACCCATATAGCCCACAGCCCATCAAAATTTTTCAAACTTTCTGATCATAAGTTTCTACTCTTCATAATTGAACCTTGCCTGCCCGTTTCTTTCCTGTGAAAACTGTGAGAAGATTCCAGCCAACTCATAGTTCTTTTTTCTGTCTGCCAGGTCATCTCTGTTGGGTGCTTCTCTAGGTGGCTCTGAGTAGCATGCTTCTTAGAATTTAGAAAAATAATTCCTTCTTCATGGAAATCAGTTTAGTGTCTGTGTGTCTTATGGTACCTGCTCAAATAAAGTCCTGTTACATTTTTAGACCAGTCAGATTTCAAAAATAAGTAGATAAATAGGCCAAAGCATAATATAATTTAGAAATAGAGGAATGGTATCTAAATAGACATTTCTGGTTGGACTATACAATATTTTAGAAACTCACTTTTTCTGTGTATCTCTTTATTTCATTTAAGAAGTATTCATTCATCAGTAGGATAGTAGCCTTTACAAGGTAATGACTAACTATGTAGAAATTGTCACAGATCCAGAGTAGGATATAGAGGATACCACTGATTGGCCCAATAAAAAGATTAGATTTAAGAGCTAGAAATAGAGAATGCAAACATGTGTAATAACTTACAAACAACATCCTGAGCAAAAATAACCAACATAGGAATCTTTTACTAACACCCATAACTACCAGACGTTTTCATCTTTATCTAATCTTCATCTAATCTGCCAGAGTATTTTGAGCATATCTCTTTATGGCATTTATGAACCTTTTATCCACTATGGCACCTACTAGTATGAAGATCTTGTGGCATCTGCAACATAAAAAGTTCTTACAGGGTCAAGAGACAACATGGTACACTGGAAAATGCACATAAATCCAGGTGGGAATGACGGTTCCATTACTTACTGGCTCTGTAGTGCTGAGTAAATTACTAAATTGTGTTTGCCTTCAATTTTCTTCTTCGTTAAATGGAGAAATATCTCTTTCCATAGCTTACTGGAAAGATTAGATAAGAAAATACATGTAAAATGCATGAGACACAGCAGGCGCACTAGAAACTTTCTTCTTTTCACTTTCTAGGATCCTTAGCCATGGGTTGAACATTCTGCTTATTAGAGGTCTTTAGTAAAGGTTATTTCATACACTCATCATTATACATACAAAAACACTAAATTTACATTCATCTATAGATTTATAGGCAGAAGTGGAGGATATTAAATTAATTTCATAGTACATTACTGCAATGTTAAATGCTTTACAGAAAAAAGTTGATAATATGTAAATAAATAAATAAGAAATGCACATGCTGATACACCATACAGCAGGGTAAAGTGTACGATGTGAGAGCTCACACTCACTGAATAGTTTTGCAGAGCCCAGCACTGTGCTGAAAACACATTTTGTGTATTTACGTCATTCTGAAGCATATGCTGTCGTTGTTTAACTCTTCTTAGTTGAGGATGCTGAAGAGCAGAAAAATTAAGCAACTTTCTCAAGACCAGCTAATAATTTTTTAAGGAAATACTTAAAGCCAGTCATTATGGCTTCAGAATCTCTAAATCTTCCCTCAGTTTATGTCTATGCTATGCTCTCCTATATTCTGTGAATTCATGTTTTGTATATGTATGTGTTAAATATGAAAACATTGATTAATCCAACAGATATTTATGGAAATCCATTCATTCTGAGCTTCTGCCATACACTTGCTTTGCTGCTAGGGAACATGTTTTAGTCCCACAGGACTTTGCGAGGCCTGCAGAAACCTGTCTCCTTCCTCTCCCAATTTAAGAGTATGTTTTGGCTTTTAATTTTAATACAATTTAATTTATTATTATTATTTTTGATTAGTACTTTTCGTGCAGCCAGTTAAAACCATAGTCTGTCTACTTTGTAGCAATGAAGATATTATCCTATGTTGTTTTCTTTTCCCTTTCACATAAAAGTCCCATTCATTCCAAATTGACTTAGCACCCTTCAACAGAAAGTTCGCGCTTTCCCACTGCATTGTAGTTTCACCTTTATCCAAGAGCAGTTGCTTTTATATACACAAGCATCTGTTTTCAAATTGTCTATTTTATTTCATGGATATATCTTTATCTACCTTCATATCATACTACATGGTTTAAATTGCTATTGCTTTAGAACAAATTGTGATATCTGGTAGTATGAGTCCTTCAGCAACTTTTTTTCTTTAAGATTCTCTTTGTTATTCCTTGTTATTTGCATTTTCTTTCACATAAAATTTAGAAGGAGTTTGTCAATTTTCACATATGTACACAGACACAAATGCACCCAGATGCACACCCACACACACATACACCAATAAATATGCTGAGATATTGATTGGGGTATATTTAATGCACAAACATGGGAAAATTGATATCTTTACAGTATTGGGTGTTCCATATAAAAGAGAATCTCATAGATATAAATGTTATAGAGAGTTTGTAGAGTTGTCACTATTCTGGATAAATACACACACACAGAGACACACGTATGAATGTACTGTTGTATGCTTTTGTACCTGTACACACTTTTAATGTAGTGTTATAGCACTTATTTCCTTAGATTCTTTCTTTAGATTTAGCTTTAGAAACTTGGTAGCTTTTATTCTATTTTAAGTCATATTGTTTTTAGCATTACAATTTCTGTTATATACACACACACACACAGAGTTGTTATTGTTGGCTTTATATTTAGCAACCTCATTAGCAAACATTCTTGAACACCTGTTCTATGATCATTGCTAGGACTGAGGATATAAAATGTGCAGTTTGTATCCCTATTCATTGAAGAGCTCACAGTTGAGATGGAGAGATTCTTCGCATGAGCAAAGACTGAAGGAGCCCTGGGAAGGAGCTACTTACTGAATTGCAGGAGTGCTGTATTCAGGCAACTGACAAGAAGTTAATGGCATATTTCAGTTTCATTATAGCTAGGGAGGTATGTCTGGATTTTTCATATACTCCCTGTCTCCTTTCCCATTTGGACTATTTTTGAACCTCAAATCCAGCGAAAATTGATGATGAGTGCCACCTTTGTGTTAATGCTTTATTTCACTATGTTTTTACACAGAATGAAAGCTTATGAAAGGCAGGGAATAATTTCTTTTGTTTACTGCCAATTTCTAGAGCCTAGAAGAGCAATGTAGCAAGATAGATGCTCAAAAAATATTTATCTTTACTTATCATATACTGGCTATTTGTCTTTCCTTAAAACTAATCTTTCTTATCCTTCCATGTTCGGCTCCAGTGTCACCTCTCCATAAAATCTTACTCTATGTCCAGCAACTTGATTTGAGAATTATATATTTTGTCCTATTACTATATCCTCAGTTATGGCAGTTTACATGCTATATTAAAACAAAAAAATGTATAAAATATCTCCATCTCTTGTACCATTGTCAGAAGAGATGCTGCTTTATTTATATTAAATTCCTACCTGCCTAAATTGGTATCTGATCCATAGCATTTTTTTCCATGAAAGAGAACATAAATGAAAGAATGAATAAATGAATGAATGGAAAACATTAAATTCAAGTCACACAACTAGTGAGGAACAGAACTAAGAAGAAAGCCCATGGCAGTTGGCTAATATTAGCCCAGTTAGTTGACCGCCAGTCAGGTTCATATAGGAATTCAGAAATTTTCTTAACTAATCCTCCCCTAGAATCATCCCCCACCAGAGTTCATTCGGTTACTGGTGAACTATTTACACTAGTTTCACACCAGGTTGCAGAAGAATCAGATCGATGACTGATCACGTGTAGGTGATTGCATAAACCTTGTTCTTGGATCAGACAGAGGTTCCTGATCCCTGACTGTTTACTCACAATGGAGACATGGGCTAGGTAATGTAGGAACTATAAAAACAACAACATAAAATAATTACTTTTACCACAGGTAATGACATTGTGATTAACATTTGCCCAAAATAATCTTCTTCACTTCCCATAACCACACTGTGAAGTAATGGATTGAAGTTCTTGACTCCAGGATATGGATCTGAGGATAGTAAGAGGAAACACTGGGGCCGGGTGTGGTGGCTCACGCCTGTAATCCCAGCACTTTGGGAGGCCAAGGCGGGTGGATCACCTGAATTCAGGAGTTCGAGACCAGCCTCAACATGGAGAAAACCCGTCTCTACTAAAAATACAAAATTAGCCAGGCGTGGTGGTGCATGCCTGTAATCCCAGCTACTCGAGAGGCTGAGGCAGGAGAATTGCCTGAACCTGGGAGGTGGAGGTTGTGGTGAGCCAAGATGGTGCCATTGCACTCCAGCCTGGGCAACAAGAGCGAAACTCTGTCTCAAAAAAAAGAGGAAATACTGAACTCTTGAGACTGACCTTCTAGAGGTCACAGTTCAAAGACAGATACTATGCCTTATCCATTCTCCCATTGCAGAAAGATCTTGACAAACACTAATGCAGTGTTAGCATGAAAAATAAATGCATAAACACAGGATTCAGAGTCATTCAATCAAACTAACTCTTGAACCCAGGCTCTTTAACTTCTTAGAATTAGATCTTAGATAAGTATGCTAATACACAGAAGTCTCTGTTGCTCTAAGAAATGGAGTTAAGCAGATGTCTTACACATAGGATTCTTAAAAGGAGTAAAAACTGCTTAGTTATACAGAAAATCTAGCACTGAACCTGTATCCTAATCTGTAATCATGAAGTGCAGCTGTTAGGATTATTTATTAGGACTACAATTCATTAATGACTTTTGTGTTCTTTTTCTACTTCTTTCATGCTGGCCTTGCCTCTGTCCTTTCTTCACCCCCAAACTCATTCCTGCTTCACAGGCTTTAAACTGCCATCCTCTTGCCAAACCTGCCCTCCATGTTTGTGCATGGATGCCTGCTTCTCACAGCTCAGGTCTCAACTCAAATGTCACTGAGTCTAAGAGGCCCTTCCTGGTCACGCCACATACAGAAACTCCTCCTTCTCTTTATTCAATTATTCTATTTTATGTTTTAGTATACTTGCAGTTCTATTTCTTTATGTGCATGTTTATTTTCTGCTTTATCACAAAAGAATTTAAGAGACTTAAAGGTCAATATTCTCCCTTGTTCTATAATGTATCACCAGTGCTAAGAACAGTACCTGGCGTACGAAATAACGACACCTACTTCAAAACACTTTCCAGAAAATTCTAGTTGTAAATTGATATCCTTTTTTTTTTTTTTTTTTAAATGCTCCAATAGCATTTATTTTGTGTCTCATTCTGGGTCTGTGTCTGCTGTTAGTGGGGACTGTCCCATGTGGCTTCGAGCTCCTGGTGGCTTGCATCACTAGGGCACCCATCATAAGGAGTGGCAGAGCAAGTTCTCATGAAGACCTATGGAACAGAAATAATACCAATAACCATGGTTATTTTAGGCACAAATTAAGATACAAATCATGGAAACCACCAACTGTGTTTTTTCGTGACCTTATTATGAATCAGGCACTCCCCATATATTATTTCTAATCCACATAAAACCCAGATTGGACAGAAATTGTTTTCTTCATTTTATGATAGAGAAAATTAAGACTAAAAAGTGAGGCAACATATCTGGTATAGTGCACTGTATTTAATGTAGTGAGAGTTGAACTGGGGTTTGAGCGATTCCCACAGGCTCTACACTTTTTTATGTGATGATGATACTACCTCCCAGTGACAGCAAGATCAAATTATTCATAAAACTTTTTTGTTATTTTACACTTTAAGTTGGGGGAATTGCATCTCAATATTTTGAATAATAAATAACAGGATGATGAACATATTTTACTAGAATATGAAATGAGTGTTCTTTTATTACTAGTACTTATTTACACTGTCTAATTCAATAAGCATGTCTCTTGTTCCTTACAGCTCTGCATAATATTTTATATCATAATTATAACTTAATCATAACTCAGCCTTATTAAAAACTGACAGGCCCTAGCTGTTGATGTGGTTAGTTTTTCCGCTAGTTATTTGAATCTTGTTTTTTCCTCCATTTAATGGATAATTTCCTTTCATAGGGATACAACATGGCCTTTTATAAGCATGGGCAAAAATATGCAAATACTCAGGTCAATCAATGCAATGTTTCCTAATTAATTTGTTAAGTGCAAGTCTCTGACCACAGTTTTGGATGAGGTAGAAAGTATTTATGTTTCTGTGAATCACTTCATATGAACATCTACATATCTTCATAGGGATAAGACAAATGGCACTGGATGGTGTATGCATTGGTAAATAATTCCTAATTACATAAATGCTTTCTTCTTGTGGAGATATTTTCTTCTTCTGAAGGCCTATAGGGCTTCATCTATACCTTTCTTGTGACATCTTTTTTTTTCTGCCTTACCTTCTGGTTATATGTGCATACTAAAGAACATATTAGGTGTAGAGAAGGCTGACTTGAATTTCAACTATTTTACCCATTCCAATTTCTGCCTGTATGACCTTGGGCAAGAGAGGTTATCACTGAATCTTTGTGGCCTCACCTATAAATCAGAGTTGCTATGTCAACTCAAATATTAATGTGCTTGTGTTTATTTCTGGAAAACAATAGATACTTCTCATATTCTCCACTAATCTGCAAATTAATTGATGGCTGAAACTATGACATATTCATCATTATCTTTGTGCCTCCCACAATTACTGCAAAGGCAGAGGAAACTTGATTACAATTATGAAGAGAAGGCTAATAGAGTTCACGTAGTTATTCTGCTTGGAATAACTCATCTCAATATTACAGCCTCAACCTCTCCTTTAATAAATTCTAGACATTCTTCAAAAAAAAATCATGCAAAATCTATCTACATCCATATATTCCTCCTTCTTCTAACTGGAGATAATCTTGATAAAGTAACATATCTCCTATACCTCTCTGTTATTTATTTCTTTCAATCTTTAATTATACATTTGAATTCATAATTTATATTTCCATTCCATTTAAACTCACTGAGATTAAAGTCATACTATTTGTCCTTTTCTGAATACCCCAATGGTCGAACGAAGTCCCCTGGGATTAACTCCTGTGTAGTTTCAGATTGTATATTACTAAATGCCAGGCCAGTCTCCAAGCACATTCCATGCTGTAACCTCAAAGAGGACCTGGGGCAAGAGAACAAGGAACCTGGTGTAGGCTCTATACATGATATGGCTAGGCTTTGTGTCCCCACTCAAAATTTCATCTTGAATTATAATGCCCATAATCCCCATGTGTCACGGGAGACACCAGGTGGAGGTAATTGAATCATAGGGATGGTTTCCCTCATGCTGTTCTCATAATAATGAGTGACTTCTCAAAAGATCTAATGGTTTTATAAGTGTTTCATAGCTCCTTCTGTGTTCATTCTCCTTCCTGCCGCCTTGTGAAGAAGGTACCTTGCTTCCCCACTGCCTTCCACCACAATTGTAAGTTTCCTGAAGTCTCCCAGCCATGTGGAACTGTGAGTCAATTAAACCTCTTTCCTTTCTAAATTACCCAGTCTCAGGCAGTTCTTTACAGCAGTGTGAAAGGTAACTAATACAATACATGTGCATGAAATCTCTTTAATCTATGGGTCAATGGCTTTCATCAGTTTTGGAAAATTCCAACCATTATCACTTCAAATATGGTCCCCACTACTATATCTTCTTTTTCTCATTCTGGATAGTCTTTATAGATCACTTGTGTCTCACATGTTTCTATCACTAATTCTATTATTTCAGAAATGTTTTCTTTTTATGGTTTAATTTAATATTTTATTCTCATACATCTTCAAGTTCACAAATCCTGATTTCTGCTGTGGCCAGTCCACTGATAACTCTTTTAATAAATTCTTTTTTTTGAATATTGTATAATTTTTATGTGTAGAATACTTACTTGTTTTTAAAAATCCACCCTTTCATCTATTTTTTCTTCTTTTCCTCTTTCTTCCACATTGTCACAGTTATTTTAAAGTTCTTATCTGATAACTCCAATATTTGGATTATCAGTATTTGTTTGTATTGTTTGTTTTTCCTTTTCTCTTCATTATTATCAACAGTCTAATAAGTTTTATTACATGCCAGACAAGTATATAATAGAACCACAGAGGACATAGATGATCAAAGTGAGGTTACTTCTCATTCATTCTATTCTTCAAGTGATATGCTCCTGAACTTTTATTAATGGCCTAGCAGATTTCTGCAACCTCGCTTTCGAAGTTTTGCTTCATAGAAATTTTTGGCCTACCTCTTTAGCTTACTTCTCACTGGTTTCAAATTCTCACGACAATCTTGAGAAAGAAACCAGCCTCATTTATTTCAGGCCCCCTCCAGCTTGTGAGTACTATGAGAGTGCCAGAAACTCCACTCTGCTTTTCCACTTCAGTCCTCTAGTTTCCAGCATCACTAAATAACTCAGCAAATGTTTTATTTGGATTTAGACCTGCATTAAGGAGTCATCTTGTATCCAATTCATTTTAATACCCTGCACAACTACCAAAACCCTGCTGGCTTCTTTTTACCTCAATAGAATCATCCAGCATGAACCAATCCAGCATCTGTCTGAGCTCAACATAGACAAATAGCTCTAGAACAAAAATGACTGAAGAAAACCAAGTTACCAAGGAAGACTGTTTTTCTCTCTCAGATTTATTAAACTTTTAATAGCAAGATAATTTTAGGCCTATAAAAGTTGCAAAAATAATATAATTTCCATGTATCCATCACCACATATTCAATTCAACCATAGAATAGATATCAATAGTAAGAGAATACCCATAGTACAATATCATAATACTATTAACTCTAGTTCAGACTTTTCATCAGTTTTCTACTAATGTCCTTTTTGTAACCAAGAATCCAATCCAGGAACTTTACCTTACATTTATTTGTCATGACTGCTTAGTCCCCTCCAATCCATGATAGTTCCTCAGTCTTTCCTTGCCTTTCATGACTTTGACAATTTTAAAGAGCATTTGTCAGGCATTTGGTCAGGTATCCTTAAACTGGGGTTTGTTTGTGTTTTTCACGTGATTTACCTAGAGTTATGGTTGTTGAGGAAGAATAACATAGAGGGGAAGTGCTCTTCTCATCACTTTATGCCAGAGAGTGGGGGTAGGACATGATATCAACATGATTTATCTCTGGTGATGTCAACTTTGATCTTTTCGTTAAGGTCGCAAAGCAGGGATAGATAAAGAAATATATAGCTGTGTGCTAGCCTATGCACACACACACACACCTACCTATAACTAATTACCTATTTTCCATCTATGTATGTATGTATGTATGTATCTATCTTTCTATTTCAATAAACATAAATATATACTGATATATTTCACCTTAATCAACACCACAGGATTCACTTTATCCTCACCTCAAAGAGGTGAACCCTGTGGTGCTTGGTTAAAGTGAAATTATATCAGTATATATTTATGTTTATTGAGATAGATATAAGTATATATATATTACCATTATATATATTAAGTATATATAAAGTATATATATTAAATATATATATAAAGTATATATAAAGTATATATATTAAATATATATATATATATAATCAGTATATATATTAAGATTTGAAGCATCTTACTCCCACAATGGGAAACCTGGATTCTGTTATATACAATTTATATATTTATTAGTTCATACTTTGTATGCATGTAATATGGTTTCAGAATCTCTCATCTGTACTCTTCTGAAAAACAAATTTACCAGCTATCATACTGTGTTTATAAACAGTTACTTTGGTCTTTATACCTATAGTTTACACACACACACACAAATCTTTTTCAATGCTACTTAAGGTAGCTCCTTTCTTTCTCTTATCCTTCAGTGTGGTTACATGATTTATTTGTCATAGAGAGAAATTATTTGCCCCAGTGTATATTCCATTCTTCCTCCAAAGTCTCAGTTGAGTTTTGCTTTACTTTGCTTAGAATACAATCCTCTTTGTGTGTGTCTATGTATGTAATATGATGGTGGCCTCTAAGATGGCCCCAATGACCCCTGCCTACTGGCATTTGTTCCTTGACTGTTCTCCTCTCCTGGAGTATGGACTCAGCTTCTTGACTCACTTATAATAACAGCCAAGTAGAATTAGGGTGTGTCATTTCTGAGATTAGATTACCAGATACCTGTGACTACTATCTCGACTATGCTCTGACAACCTTTGTCTCTCAGAGTCAGTTCTCACATTGTGAGAAGCCCTAAGGAGAGTCCCAGACAGCAAGGAACTGATGTATCCAGCCAGCAGCCACTGAGGACCTTGACCTGCCAAGAACAATGTGAGAATGAGTTTAAAAATTGCATCCTTTTACTCATACCATTCCCACAACAGTCACATTTACTTTTAGACAATAGATATTGATATCCAGAACAAAATTCTATTTCAGTTCTCACTTAATAATACCACTTTGTGCTATCAATAGGTAGTATTTGGTTGCTGTAAAGGTCAATATTAAAAGGGATAAAGGAAGGTATGCAGAATGCATAATATGTGTTCAGATTATATTGATTCTCAATAAATGTTAGCTGTCAACAATATTCTATATTTTTCACTAATTAAAGAATTATGTGCTTATATAACCCAGACACTATAATAAGCCTGCTGATAAAGCACTGAGAATAGAGCTGGGGTTGAGCTCTGCCCTTATGCACCTTAAAGCCTATTTGGGGAACTGGAAATTAAACAAATAATTACAAAATAATTTAATGAATATAGGATGCTTACCACAGGAGGCTTAACATTAGGTATTGTTCAATAAAACACCACTGATAAGACTAAACAATTAGAAATGCTCAACTAGCTGATGAATACTGGGCAGGGGGTAAGCTGTCTCACCACAAATGGAATTAAGCCATGTTTCTGAGCTATGCTCCAAGAGGTCTTCTCTCTCTGAGATGGTGAGAGCTGGCTCATGGTGAGAAGTATAGAGATGAATGAGATAAGGGCCCTATATATAAGGAGCTCACAGGTTATGAAGGGAGACAAGAGGAAATTCTGTAACCAGGTAATTAGACAGCAAAATGATAGCAAATAGTAATAATTTAAAATGTGAAGAACTTCAGACAAGTAAGTTTGAGAATAATTCCTGACTCAAGGTAAGAAACCATGGGACCATCTCTATTTTTATTTTTCAGCTTGAAACATGAAGAGAATGTTCAATTGTGTTATCTTTTAAAATGAATGGAGGCGTGTGTGTGTGTTTAAAAAACCTGTGGTTACAAAACCATTATTTTGCTGCTTAAAGTGAAAAACTTAAGCTACTTGGAAAATGTTCCCTATGTGTAAATACATGCCTGAAAAATGAAGATTTGCATCACAATTTAGAGTGGCCAACTCATACAGATTGCCCAGGCCCATCCTGACTTTAAAACCAAAAGTCCCACATTCTGGGACTTTTGTGAACCACCTCAGTTTCAATCAGAACAGGACAGCTGATCACCCCACTTCACATGTACTTTTAATTGCATTTGGAAAACTGCAAATAAATAATTCTCTATATTAAAAATAATATGGTATGGAAAGATTCTGTCTAGTGTAAAAAAAAATAAGTCTACCATAAGTATGTCTTTACTTCAAGACCTGTGAGAGTAGATAAACTCAGAAACCAGAACAAAATCTCATTGTCTGGAGAATTACCAAAGCATTCTGAAAAAAATTGAATAATTCCCAAGAGAGAATCTCAGCAATGGAGAAATGAGAACTCTTAATGCTTTCCTTCTAAAACTCAGATTGAACTTCTTCATGCTAAAAGAGTATACATTCCATTTTTGTTAGCATAAAAATATATATACTTACAAAAAATATTATTAAAAAATCTGCCTGACTTTTTTATGTTTTACTTTCATTTGTCTTCCTATGACTGTAGTTGAATTCATATCTGCAAATAATGCACACTGAATAAATATTTGAATAGAAAATGAATGGATAAGAACAGAGAAATTTAAAAGCATAAATAAATAAGTGACTGACTGAATGAAATAAATAAGTGCGTTCTATGGGCTGCAATATTACTACCTGTTTCCAGCTTGACAAAAATAAGGATTGTTAGGCTAGCAGATCAATGTACGCTATTTGAATTATTTGAAAACACAAATCTCCCATTATTTACAGGTCATGGGAAAATTATTTGATGTTAAAAGTTTGTACATCAATGGGATGGGTAGCTTTGCACATACTAAGATAAGCCACCTTTAGGCAAATGAAATGCTATTGGTCATATGGCTACAGTTGATACTAATTAGTTAAAAGAATGTGCTAATGTCGCCAAGAATGGGGGATTAATTGCAAGATGGACAGTGTCTTCGCTCTGTTTAAAAGCTAGAGTCTCTGCACTTTGTCCTGGTCCATCTTACTAGAAATCCGTTATTTACTCACTTATCCACTTATTTGAATTTGCATTGTCTCTTTATTGTGAACCTGAGAAAAGGCTATAGAGTGGGAAGTCTATCTTTGCTACACATTAGGTGGGTGACTTTGGATTAGTTAGCATTCCTTGAGACCACAAACGGATAGAAAAAAAAAAACCTGACAATATGTAACTTGCAGAAAACACGTCCATTTGCAAGTACTGATCTCTATTATTTGAGTTTTATTTTAATCATGTAACAAAATAGTCAAATGAATGGGTTGAAGATTTACAGTATTACAATGATCACTCCTGATTCCTAATGAAAATTATCATTGTATTCATATTTCTTCATTTTAAAATCAATGATATATATTTAAAATTATAAAAATATATATTAGAATGTATTATACATGATTATACCTTAGTTCCTGACAAATGTTGGGCACCTCCTCACACTGGCCTTCTTCTCTTTAAAGCTGTTCTTTCTTGCCCTTCCTCTATTTCTCTTCCCTCCCCTTTTTTTAACTTTCTGCTGTTCTCCCTTCTCTCTCCCTTTGCATTAACTATTTATTTTGTTTCGTGGTGGATTTAAAGATGACCAGAAATGCATCCTACTTTCAAGAGCTGATGATGGCCTTATTTAAACATGTACTGACTGATTTATATTACATTACATAGGAGAAGTGACTTAAGAAGCATATGGATACACTACTACAGTAACTAGAGACAGGGGGTGCTACTTCCAGTCACAAAAGTAAGAAAAGTTTTGGTGGCGCAAGGATATGTAAAGCAGAGATAAGAATTGAAAGTGGGCCGGGCGCAGTGGCTCACACCTGTAATTCCAGCACTTTGGGAGGCTGAGGTGGGCGGATCACGAGGTCAGGAGATCCAGACCATCCTGGCTAACACGGTGAAACCCCGTCTCTACTTAAAATATAAAAAACTGGCCGGGTGTGGTGGCGGGTGCCTGTAGTCCCAGCTACTTGGGAGGCTGAGGCAGGAGAATGGTGTGAACCCAGGAGGCGAAGCTTGCAGTGAGCAGAGATTGCGCCACTGCACTCCAGTCTGGGCGACAGAGCGAGACTCCATCTCAAAAAAAAAAAAGAATTGAAAGTGGAGCAATAGCATCCTCTCTTTCTGCTCTCCCCTTGCAACTGCTGAGGCCTATGGCTTTGAGTGGCCCTGAGATCCTAAAAGTGGAGTTTTGAAGAAACCCATTCCTTCAGCTAAAGGGATCTTCAGAGCATAGCTTCTGCTAACAAGACCATGAAGCTCAGACCTTACCTTGTTGTGATTGAGCATTTGAACAAACTTTACAGTTTGGAGTAGGTAGAGTAAGAGTAAGATTGTGGGAGCTAAAAAAAAAAAATAGGAACAAGTGAGAAAGAAAAGTATGACTGTGATAGTGAGAAGGTCACTGAAGATACTGATGATCACTCCCAGTTATACAATCTATACTTGAAGCACTTTACTTGAGACCCCACTGGAAACACACACAGGTTACGGTGGCTGATGTCTATGATTCTTTGTGGATCTCCCCTTCCATCCTCTGAAACACTAAGAGATCATCGAGGATATGTGTAGGATAAGGCAACATTTTAAATAAAATTGCTCTCAGAATTCTGGAGGAAGGATTGGGAAAGGTTAAATAGATCAACAAAAGATGAAGTGTCAGTAGCTCTGACATCAGACTTCAGGTTGCATTTTGACTCAACATGACCTGTTTTACCAGCAACGCTAAGCCAAGTAACACATGGCATTGGCCAAATACATTTTCATAGATCTTAATCTCCAAGCCATTCCCATAACTGCATTAAGGTGTCATCTTCCTAGGAGGAGTCTGGCAGCAGTAAGTATAACAGTTCAAAATTTTCCAATTATTCTGAATATTTTCTTTTATTTGAGCCTCGTAAGAGCTCACTGAGATAAAAAGAGATCAATACTGCATTTTTTTTTTATTTTGCTGCCTAGAAAACTGTATTCCCTAGCCTGTTATCTTCTAACTTCATGTATATGAATTATTTTTTTCTTTAGGATTCAACTTATGTAAGTATTCCTTGACCTCTCCAGATGGAATGAGACACCTTGTCATATTCTTTTATAGCATGTCAAGCTTTTCAATCATTGCCTTCATTCCAATTTTAGCACATTTGTAACTTGCAAAGTTTTTTATTAAAAATATATCTTAGTAGAACATAAAAGACATAAAAGCAGGGACTACATTTGTCTTGTTCATTGCTACATCTTTAGTGCTTATGACAGAGCCTTCCACATAGTAGGTACTTTAAAATATAACAGAATAAATAAATGAATTACAAATCAATAAAATTTACAATAAAGAAAATTGGTACTCAGAGTACTAAACTACTTAAGTCACACTCAGAAAGTATGAGAAGAATGTGCTAGAATACACATCTTCTGAGCAGATTCCAATGTGTTACGTAATATCCCGTTTACTTTTTACTGTAAGACTACTATATGATCCGGTAATCCCAATAGTGGATATATGTCCAAAGGATATTAAATCCATGTGTTGAAGCTATATCTGCATCCCATGCTTATTGTAGCATTCTTCACAATAGTCAAGACATGGACTCCACTTATGTGTCTACCAGCAGGTAAATGGATAAAGAAAATGTGGTGTAGATACACAATGAAATACTCTGAAATATCAGCCTTAAAAAAGAAGTAAATCCTATCATTAGTGACAACATAGATAAACCTGAAGGACATTACGTTCAGTAAAACACACCAGGTACAGAATGACAAACACATCATGATCTCAATTTTACTGCATATGAAATTGTAAAAAGTCAAACCCATAGAAGCAGAAAGTGAAATGGCCTGAAGGTGGGGGAACTGAGGAGATGTTGGTCAAATAATCTACAATTTCAGTTAGACAGAAGGAATAAGTTCAAGAGATCTATTGTATAATATGGTGACTATAGTAAATAACCATGTATTGTATACTTGAAAATTTGCTGAGAATAGATTTTAAGTGTTATCACCACAAAACTGATTAGTATGTTAGGTGATGGTCATATTAAGTAGCTCGACTTAGCTGTTCTACAATGAATACATGAATCAAAACATCACATTGTTACCATAAATACATACCATTTCTATTTGTCATTTAAGAAATATATTTTTAAAAATTTCAAAAGGTAGAAAAGAAAAAATGTGGAACAAAAAGAAATATAGATAATATATATGAAAAATTCAGAGAAGAGAAAGAATTTTAAGGCACTTAGGTCTGAGAATATACTCAATCCTAAAACTCTGAAGTTCAATTTCCTCTAATTTTTGAGCCAAGCTTCACAAAAGCAATTATCACATAATTTGTTGATTTCTTTCCCAAGTGAATGTTTGCCAAACACTCCCTTCAAAGATTTCATATGCATTAAATATTTATGCCAAGCTGTTACATAGAAAACTTGAGTATATACTTTGCTTTTAGAATTAATTTATTTCTAATTTTTTAATGCAAAGTAATTAGCTGAATTGCTCTTAGAATATAATCACTTGTTGTATGTTTGAATAAGTTAAGCACGGCTTTGTAGAAATGTGACTAGTTTATAATTATCTAGGAGCCTGAAATGTTCCTTGTGGCTAAAATAATATGATCAAACTTAGTGGCCACTTAAATAAAATCACATTAAGCATGACTTTATGCAAGGAGTCATTCCTGGAAAAATTTGCCTTGTTTCTCTGTTTACTTCAACCAAAAATGAAAGTGACGGGTTTTGAAGGAAATCCCTTAGATGATACCACATCTGTAGGTGAGGCAGTGTAGCCGATAAACTGGCACATAGCCTGCAAGACAGAATGCACTCTATGACCTTGGTCAAGGTTATTAAGATTGCTCAGCCTGCATTTTCTGATGTTGCAAATTAGCACATTAGACTAAATATTCTCTAAAGAACTTCCTTCATTTCACTCTGTACATTTTTTTTAATAAAGCATATACTAAACCAGGTCTTGTGACATTAGGGATGACCCCTTCACATTATCACAAAGATGTATAATTGTCACACCAGATTTATACAGTGTTTTCCTACTAGGTTTTCACAACAAGGGGAGGAGTAATGATATTATCATCCTCAATTTATAGTTTAGGGAGATAGATCGAGGTTCAAAGACAATCAGAGTCTGATGGTTAACACTTCCAAACATTCCTGGGAAGAGTTGCTACCCAATATTTATCTACTTTTATTTCGGACCTTGATTTGTGAAGATTGGATAAAACACTTCTGTTTTTGACCTCTTTGAGGAGTATAATTTATCTTCACTTAATCAGATTACTTATAATACTTTTCCCCCTTCAGATTCAGTCCATGGGGGTATCATTTAACACTTTCAAATTCAACCAGTAATGTTGGCTTTGTCTATTGGCACATGTGCAATTGCCCTCCCTTCTCAATCCTCAAGATATGCAGAGTGAGGAAGAACTGCATGAATACTGATCATTGGTGCCGAGGACGTCTTTACTCTGGAATCTGCCTTGCCTGCCATTGGCATTGAATCCCTTACTTAATGTGAGAACACGGAAAGGAACTCATGGCGTAGCAGTTAGGAGAATGACATATTTGCTGGCATTTTCATGATAAAAGTATTATTAAAAGTGGAATTTTTGACATAATCTCAAATTTGTCACTGATATGATGTTACACTTTAGAAAATAATTTATCTATCTTATCATTCAATAATTACCACTCATAATAACAAGGATACTATAAACAATGATGATACCTATTATTTCTTCACTATTTGCTACGTGACAATATGCTAAGCAGTTTTATACCCACCACCGCATTAAAGTCTTCAAATTTTTCTACACAAAGCCACCACTGTACCAATTTTATGGATGGAGAGACTAAGAGCAAGATGAAGACTGAGTTTATGTAACTTAACATTTACTATAACCCAGGTCAGTGGGGGTTCTGTTCCTGGTTGTACACTAGAATCATTTGGAAACTTGAAAAAATGCCATGTCAGTACCTCAAGTTACTTTAAGTTAAATAGCCTACTTACTGCACATAATGGCATTTTCAATGTGTAGAGCTAATGTGTCTAAGATGCTGGTTAGCTAAGATCAAAAGAGACTGTCTTCAAAGTGCTCCAACACTGTAGAGGCAAAAGCTACATAAACTAAATTGATTGCAGTAAAATATTACAAGTCCAGTATTACTGATGTGTCAGTACCACATTGGGAGACATGGAAATGTCATTTGTACAATTTATTTAATCTTGGTTTATTTTCTCATTTGTAAATGACAATAGCATCTGCACCAAAGTTGTTGGGAGATTAAATTGGATAACTTATGTTATGGGTTCTAAGGACTGCATTTGGCAAATAGTTAAGTGCCTAAAATTGAGCTCTTCTTTCCTTATATATGAAGTGTATGAAGAACCCAGTTCTCCATTTGTGAAATAGTGACCATAATACTCCTGCCACAGGTTCCTCTGAGGATCAGACAACACCACAGATGTGAAAGTCCTTTGCAAAATACACCAAACAAATGTAAATTGTTTTTATGGTTCCAAATATCTAGACTGGAAGACATATTGGATCCTTCTCTATGAATCAGCTTCTGCTATTATCCCAGACCCTTCCCAACTGGCTTATTTTGGAGCGTATAACTGCATTTTTAAAAAATTATTCTCTTTGCACTCTCTAGAATTGTATATATGAATTTGGCTTCTTGTCCTGAAATATCCACCCATAGTCAAGGTACAGGGCAGCAGGAATTGTCTGATGATCATCTCTTGGACGTAGAGTACATCAGAACCTTGAAAATTCTTGCTTATATTTATTTCATCTGTGTTTTCTCATCATCAATAATCCTTCCTTAGCCATTTCAGCATTCTAGTAAGCAAAGGATAAAGGCGTGCTGACTTTCTTTTTTAAATTCTGAAAAATGCCAGATCTATATTTTGGAGAAGCTAGCTGACTTGAGGCGATGACCCACTTAGGTTTTATTTCATCATTCTTTTTGTACTCTCCATGACTCTTAGGAGGAAGAAAAATCAAACACCATCCACAAGAAAAGACAGCACTCATCCTCAAAACGACTTTTATAAGCCTGTGGATGAAGTATAAGGAGTAGACAGAGCCTGGGCCTGGGCGTTAGCGTCCTGAATTTTACTCCTGTGCCTGCCAGGGAGTCCCTGGTCCTTAGGAGGCTGGGTTTGGAGGAAGCAGGATGGTAGGTTATGAAAATTCAAAACAGCCTACTTGTGAAGAAGTGGAACAAATCCAGAAGCTACTTTTCAGCAATTGATTCTGTGGCAGAGTTAGAGCTACAAGCTTAGTGTTTGGATTCTATGACCACAATCTCTTGATATGTACCTGTTGTTTCCTTTAGTGAATATGAGAGTGCTTTGAAAAGAACAGGCATCCAAGTCTCCTGTGGTTCAGACTCTGATGCACGAGCTTCTACCGCTCCTTTCGGTGGAAGAACTAAAATCCTTTTCCATAATAAAACTAGTCCCAGGCGTTAGACAATCTTGGAACTTGCTTCCCTTTGTAAAATTGAGCATGCTTCCTTCTCTTTGCAATGGAAATGATGTCATAGTTAGACATTTGGTTATTATTTTTAAGGATTCTCTGTTTTTTTGTTTAAAACATGCCATACTCCTATGTAATTCCTGTCTTTCCATAGCTTAACACTTCTACTGGATGTCCCTTTGCATACAGATTAGAGTCTAAGCCTCAAGCATCCTATCCACCCCTCTTCCTCTATTCCTCTTTCCTTCCTGTGTCTGCACAAACTGCACCGTTTTCCCACTATGTCTGCTTGGTCTGAGTATGTTCTAGCGCAGGGATAGCAAGGGACGAGATGGCCCTCAAGGAGCTTGAATTCTAATGAAAATAAGAAATTACTTTCAGTTTCCAGAGCACAAGGCTGTCTTCTCCCCACCTCATCACACTCCTCTTAGCCCTCTGGAAAGGGCTCTTTCTCGTTCAGGTGTCTCAGCTGGCGGCAGGTGGCTTTTCAATGCCCTGTGGTCGTGACAGTGCAGCCCTCCTTAAAGGCCTTGATGGCAGCCTCCCTATGAGAGTCTTACACATTACAAAGGAGCTGTGGGCATGGCAGTTGCCACAGGGCATTTGAATCTTTCACTTAACTGTTGCTCTTCTCACAAAAAAATAAAAAGCTCTTTGAGGAAAAGAACTGTGATTGCTGCCTTGTCCCCCAACCTAGCACACTGCCTAGCCTAAGAAGACATGAATTAGTGCTGAGGAAATGAATTAATGAATGAATGAAGGGATGAATATTAAATCCATGAATGAACGGTTGTTATGACAAACACGGCTTCAGACAAGGCAGACGTTCTTTATGGAAGATCACTCACTGCCACTCAGTGTAAGATCAGGGCTGTCTAAACACATTTACTAACAAGATATATGGTATGTTTACGTCCATTCAACAATTACTCTTGCAGTGAAACAAGAAGTAGAAGAAACAAAGTTAGCGTTCTCATATGCAAGAGTTAGCGTTATGTGTCAACTTGGCTGGGCCAGATGAGCAGATATTTGGTCAACAATTATTCTGGATGTTTCTGTGAAGGTGATTTCTGCATAAAATTCTTCTCTAAATTGGTGGACTTTGAGCAAAATAGATTGACCTCTCTAATGTGGATAGGCCTCGTTCAATCAGTTAATTAATAGAACAAAAGACTGATTTCTCCCTCCCCAAGCAAGAAGGGATTCGGGCAGCAGACTGCCTTCCACTTGAACAGCAAAACCTCCCTGGGTTTCACCCTGCAGACTTTGACTTGCATCTCCACAATCATGAGTTAATTTCTTAAAGTCTTGCACGAATGTGCTTTCTCTATATATACATACGTATCTATGCAGAGAGAGAAACATATGTGCACACATGTGTACAAACACATACACATTGTTTTGGCTCAATTTCTCCAGAACTCTGACTAATACATCATGAACTTGCAGAATTTTGGATATTTGACAAATCTGAGGAATTGAAGAGACGGGCACCTCACCTTTTCTGAGCAGAAGAGTTCATTTGATGAAACCTGAAGTAGAGAGCAGGTGAGTACTTCCAGTAATTAAGCAAAGAAGAGAATCATCTACCGAATGTGTTTATTATAAATATTAAATAATGGAATCAGACTTCCTATGTTATGAATTCCTTGACTATTAGAATGCACTATGCAGATATCAGCACATTTAGAAGCTGAAGAGATTGCAATCACCGTATTTTTGTCATTTTTAGACACGCCGTTTTACATGAATGCAGAAAAGTGTAATTATAAATAATACGGGCCATTTATTAATTGTTGCATACTTTTTCATATAGTGTATATTAGACATATTCATGTAAAGCATTAAGTAATTATGCATGTATTATCTCATGTGCTTTTCAACATAAGTCTACTGCTACCTACATTATATTATTCCCATTTTCCCAATGATGAAAGAGATGTACATGGCTGTTATACAAACTATCTAAAGTCATCCATTTAAAGGTATAGACTGAAGATTTGAAGTCAAGTTTCTCTGATCCCAAAGTGTGCATACTGGCTACAATAGAAAGTAATCAGTGACAAATATACACACAGGTTTCCTTTTTTCAATAGAAACTATTGCGATTCAAGCAGACATTGTTGGTGTTGCTGACATCCCCTTACTACTCACCTTCACATGGCAAGGGGCACGTACTGCAGGCATCTGTGTCTTTCTGCCTGAGAGCTCTGTGTGGTGTATGCGTGTGTGTGTGTGTGTGTGTGTGTGTGTGTGTGTGTGTGTGTGTGTGTGTGTGTGTTTAATCCTGGCTGGAAAGCTTGCTGGCCTTATGCATAGATGCCGTCAGAGAAATACATCTTCCATTCAAGTACATCAGGGTAAAAGCATGAGGACTCACCGATGTCCTCATCCCTCAGTTGGGATAGCTCTGAGGCATGCTCTGTGGTATCTTTTAGCATTCTCCAGTAGAATTTTGCTTTAGTTGCCCATGTTGACTACCGGATAATTTTGCAAATTTTATTGGCCACACTTCCTTCCTTATCTCAGTTTCCCACTGCCTTACTGGTGATTCTTGAGTTCTCTCTCAAATCAGTTACAGCCCCTCCAATCCTTGCCTCAGGGTTCATTTCTAGGACGACCCAAATTGAGATAGTAATCTGAAATTTTTGGAAATGTTCATGTATTTTAGTCATTACAGATTAGTTAAATTCCCCAACGCTTTAGTGTTTCCCTTTTAAATGCTTTCCAGTATGATAATCTCTGTCCTTGAAGCTGAGGACAGGAAGGCAAATGCCTAGATTACTAAAATTGTCTCTGCAAAATCCCAGTACAGTAATTAATACCTATTACCAGTGCATGTGGGGAAATGTTGTCTGAGGCAATATTTGCGTATTTATCTACTCTATAGACTTTTAAGTGCATGCCCTTTTTGCAAACACCCTCAGGGTACATGTACAATAAAGAATTCTGTTAATTAAAATGCAGCTATTGCATTAATAAAACATCAGATAAAACTGCAGAAAGTAGTTTGATAGTGCCACGTTTTTGTTTGTTGGATCAGAATTTTGCTTTCTCCCCCAACTTTCTTTCTTTAATAGGCCTTTCTGTATTACTCTCTGAGATATCTAATTGAGGCTAGGATCATGAATACCTGGAACCTCAATGAGACCTGTACTGATTTCAGAGGATCCAGGGATGGGAATTATAGCACACTTTGGGAAGCATCCAGATGGAATGCTGGTGATATGAAGAGAGGAAACCCAAGAACAAACAGTAGGAGGAATTTTATTACGTTGATTTTCACTTTGCTGTTTGCTGATTTTCACCTTCTTAAGCTTTTAGTTCCTCTCCACCATACAAAAGTACTGCTCCCATGTTCCATTGAATCAACACATGTCATTGTAGTCACATCAAATTACACTTCCTGCATCTTTACCTCTGTAAAGTAAGGATGATTGCTCAATACATTTGGCCAAAATATCTGAATCCTTTAGAGAGCCCTGAGAGAGAATTTCTTATAATACATTCACTCTATTTTCTTCTCTATACACCTGTTGAAGTGGCTTCATGACTATTTTAAAATGGAGACAGCCAAAACCTAAAATTGCATTTATGCAAACGACAGGGCATTTTTCAGACACTCACAGGAATTGCACGCTTCCATGTTAGGGTACATGGTGTTTTATTCTCATAGAATAATAATATCGTTATCCACATAATTGTAACCATTACTATTTATGAAATAGTTTATACTTGTTAAGCTTTTCTTAAATGATTTTTGTTCTATACCTTTTAAATTTACTCTTCACAACAGATCAATGAAGTTGGTTTTATCATTAGTCCCATTTTACAGATGAGTGTAGGTATCTTTTTAGAGTTCCTTCTACAGATAGATGGTAAAAAAAAGTCTTGCATTCTTAAACACACTTCATAAATGTGCCATCCAATATTGTAGACACTAGCCACATTAAATCAAAAGCAAAAAGTAAGTTAAATTAATGTTGAATCATATAAATGAATTAAAATTTAATTAAGTTAAAATGTAGTGTCTCAGTCATATTGACCATAATTTTTTCCCATAATCAATACTTTCTTTTTTTCTTTTCTTTTCTTTTCTTTTTTTTTTTTTTTTTTTTTTTTTGAGACGGAGTCTTGCTGTGTCACCCAGGCTGGAGTGCAGTGGTGTGATCTCGGCTCACACTGCAAACTCTGCCTCCCGGGTTCACGCCATTCTCCTGCCTCAGCCTCCCAAGTAGCTGGGACTACAGGTGCCCGCTACCACGCCTGGCTAATTTTTTATATTTTCAGTAGAGACGGGGTTTCACTGTGTTAGCCAGGATGGTTTCGATCCCCTGACCTCGTGATCTGCCTGCCTCGAATTTTTGAGGTATGACTAGCAAACAAAAATTTAAGGTGAACAATATTTAAGGTGAAAAAATTTAAGGTGAACAATATTTAAGGTGAACAAATATTTAAGGTGAGCAATATGGTGTTTTGATATACCTATACATTGTAAAATAATTAACACAACCAAGCAAATTAATATGTCCCTTATTCCACATAGTTACCTCTTTTAATGAGAACACTTGAGATCTACTTTTTAGCAAATGTCAAGTATACAATACGTTGTTATTAACAAGAGTCATCATACTGTATGTTAAATTTTCAAAATTTATTTGTGTTATAACTTGAAAGTTTATATTCTTTGACGAACTTTTTTCCTTTTCCAGTACCCACCTTCTGCCCCCGATAACTACCATTCTCTTCTCTTTTACTAGGAGTATAACTTTAAAAAAGATTTTCACATATAACTGAGGTCATGTAGCATTTGTCTTCCTACATCTGGCTGATTTCATTTAACATAATGTCCTTCAGGTTCATCCAAGTTATTGCAAATGACAAGATTTTTTACTTTTTTAAGGCTGAATAATTCTCCATAGTATATGTAAATACCAAATTTTTTATCGATTCATCCATCAATGGACACTTTGGTTGTTTCCATGTCTTGTCCACTGTGAATAATGCTGCAACATTACTCTGCTGTTGTAATGCTTCACTCCAGAGGTTCAGATGTCTCTTCAAGATTGTGATTTTTATCTCATTTGGAAACATATCCAGAAGTGGACTTGCTGGATCATATTGTAGTTCTAATTTTAGTTTTTGGAAGAATCTCTACAATTGTCTCAGGATCCTTAGGGTGTCACTTCAGCAGCTGAAACCTCTGTGGCCAGTGGTGCCTCTGCCTGGGTTTTGCTCATGCCTGCTGGGCTTGTTCCGTCCGCTTGGCCTGACCTGCTATGCTTGGCTTACGATACCCTCCCGGATCCCACACCTGCCAAGGACGAGACAGGCGCAGAGTGGAGAGGGGTGTGTGGGCAAGTGAGCATGGGATCTGGCCACTGCACACAGCCAGGTACGCTGGCGGCTGCTGCGACTAGGGCAGCTCCAGGCACCAGCACAGGTGTCAGCTACAGGCAAGGCTGTGCCTGGACAAGACATACTGCAAGCAGCTTCCACTGAGGTCAGCAGCATTTGGACAAGGGGATTGCCATGATGCCCAAAATCTTGGAGATGACAGGAACCCTAGACCCCCAAAGAGGGCAATACAGTGCGTCACAGCCCTGGTTCAGGGAGCCCCGAGGTTTCGGCTCCTAGAAGGGCCGCAACTCCTCTCTACTTCTCCTTGCCTGCAACGTGGTGAGCAGGGGGCCATGTTTTAGCCCTGTTTGTGTTACAGCTCTTTCAGTCCTGCCATTAGACGGGTTCCATGTTCAGGAAGAAGGAGATTCACAGACAACTGTAGGGTGAGCCAGGTGGAGAGGAGCTTAATTGAGTGACAGAGCAGCTTGCAGGAGACCCGAAGTAGGTAGCTCCTTTCTGCAGGCAGGTCATCGCACCGCCTGCCCAACTCTCAGCAGAGAGGGGACCCGCAGTGGGTAGTTCCTTTCTGCAGGCAGGCTGTCCTGATGAGTTGAGGAGACCCTGAGTGAGGAGCTCCTTCCCGCAGTTGGTATTCCCAACTTGTTTCCCAGTCAGCCTGGGTTTTTATGGGCTCAGCAGGGAGGAAGTGTGTGCTGATTGGTCTATAGGGATCCATGAGCAGGCCCGGAAACAGCACCCCGAGTTTTCACTCTAAGCCACAGATTTCATCCAGAACTGACAGCCTGGCCACCAGGCTTCAGGCTGTCCCTGGCTTGAAGGTGAGGTTTCACCTGGGACCTGCCCCTTTCCACCCAGGAGCCTGTCTGCCTCCTGCCGTCAACATGCCATCCATGGTGCCCAGGCTATTTGTGCCAAGGGATGAGGAATGCCTGCAGGCTCATGCCGAGCTACCCTCAGCCCACCCCTCAGACTCCCTCCTGTGCTCCTAGGTGCCCAAAGTCCAGAGGGGGCCGAGACGGCAGGATGCTGGTGTGTCAATGCCATCCTGAGTGCACGCATACCCAGCTGGGTTGCAACAGCACCCGGTTTCCGCCACAACTTTCCTCCGAAACTGGAGAGGCCAGGGACGGGAGCAGGCACTTCCCAACTTGCAGGGCCAGGGAGGGCTTCCTGGGCTTCTCAGAGTGCAGGGATGCCTGGGTTCAGAGCCGTAGCTAGGCAGCTGCAGCTGCACCTGGGAGTGTGAGGCTACCACCTCGCCAACTACGTAGAGTGCGGGGCGACTTCCACTCTGCAGCCAGCATCTTCTCAGTGGCACACTAGACGGGGCTACCACTGCCATGACAATGATTGTACCAATTCACAATCTGATCAACACAGAGTGCTTCCATCTTTCCACATCCTTACAAACAACATTTGTTATCTTTTGTCTTTTTGATAACAGTCATTCTAACAGGTTTTGTTTTGCATTTCTCAGACGCGTAGTGATGTTGAGCATATTCTCATACACCTGTGTGCCATTTGTGTGTTTTCTTTGAAAATGTCTAATCAGGATCTGTGTGCATTTTTTATTCAGGCCATTTGAATTCTTGCTATTCTGTTGTGTGAGTTTGCATCCCTTATATAATTTGGAAACTAACCTCTAATTGGATACGTGGTTTGCAAATAATTTCTCCCATTTCACAGATCGCCTCTTTATTCTGTTGATTGTTTTCACTGCTGTGCAAAAAACTTCTTAGTTTGATTTAGTTCCACTGGTTTATTTTTGCATTTATTGGCTGCGCTTTAAGTGTCACATTCAAAACATCATTGCCAAGATCAATATCAAGGAGATTTTTCGTTCTTTTCCTCTAGAAGCTTTGTGGTTTCACGTACTGTGTTTAAGTTTTAATATAATTTTAGTTGACTTTTTTTGTTTCTGGGTTAAGATAAGGGTCCAATTTAATTATTTGAATGTAAATAACCATTTTTGCAACAATATTTATTGAAGATACTATCCTTCCTTTATTAAGTTTCTTGACAATTTTGTCACATATTAGTTGAGCATGTGTGTGTGGGTTTATTTCTGGGCCCTCTATTTTCTTCCATTGGTCTACCTGCCTGTTTTGATGCCAGTGCCATACTGTACTCATTATTATAGCATTGTATTATGACTTGAAATCAAAAGGTCTGGTGTCTCCAGCTTTGTTCTTCTGGCTCAAAATTGCTTTGGCTATTTGGGGTCATTTATGGTTCCATACAAATTTTAGGATTTTTTTCTATTCCTGTGAAAAATGTCATTGAAATTTTGATAGAGATGGCATTGAAACTGTAGATCACTCTGAGTAAAATGGACATTTAAACAATATTAATTCTACTAATCCATGAACACAGTATATGTTTGTATTCATTTGTGTTTTCTTCAATGTTTTTATCAATATATTATAGTTTTCAATGCATAAATCTTTCACTCCTTGGTTAAATTTATTCTTGAGTATTTAATTCTTTTTGATGCCACTAGAAATAACATTATTTTCTTTATTTTTTTGAAAAATTTGTTGTTAGTGTATAGAAACACAATTTTTGTATGTCAATTTTGTATCCTTGCAAATTTTGTATCCTTGCAAATTTGTATGCCAATTTTGTATCCTTGCAAATTAGTTAGTTTTAATCAATTTTGGTATACTTTAAATCAATTTTTTAATTGATTTAAAAGTTTTTAATCAATTTTGGTATAGTTTAAAAAATTATATATGTGTATATACATATATGTGTGTCTATATCATTATATCTATGTATATATACATATATCTATGTATATATACATATATAGATATCTATATACATATATATACATATATGTGTGTCTATATCTATATATGTATAGATATAGTATATAGATATCTGCATATAGATATCTATATATGTATATATACATAGATATCTATATATGTATATATACATATATAGATATAGACACACATATATGTATATAGACATATATAATTTTTATAATATGTATATCTATACATATGTAGATATCTACATCTATACATATGTAGATATCTACATCTATACATATGTAGATATCTACATCTATACATATGTAGATATCTACATCTATACATATGTAGATATCCACATCTATACATATGTAGATATCTATATCCATATATACATATGTAGATATCTATATCCATATATACATATGTAGATATCTATATCCATATATACATATGTAGATATCTATATCCATATATACATATGTAGATATCTATATCCATATATACATATGTAGATATCTATATCCATATATACATATGTAGATATCTATATCCATATATACATATGTAGATATCTATATCCATATATACATATGTAGATATCTATATCCATATATACATATGTAGATATCTATATCCATATATACATATGTAGATATCTATATCTATATTATACATATTAGATATCTATATCTATATTATACATATGTAGATATCTATATCTATATTATACATATGTAGATATCCATATATATGTAGATACCCATATATACATACACAGATATCCATATATCTACATATATAGATATCCATGTATATACATATATAGATATCCATATATACATATATATGTATCCATATATGTATATATGGATATCTATATATGTAGATATCGATATAGATATCTATATATGTAGATATGCATATATGTATATATGGATATATTAGATATATATCTAATATGTCTATATTTTAGACATATTAGATCACATTATCTACAAGGACTTGAAATTCTTTTTTTCCAATTTGGATGCCTTTTATGTCTCTTTCTTGCCAAATTGCTCTGGCTAGAACTTTCAGTATTATGTTGAATGGCAATGGTGAGAGTTGTCAACCTCATCTTTTTTCTTATCTTAGAGAAAAAGCTTTCAGTTTTTCACCATTGAGTAAGATTGTTAGGTGTGATCTTGTCATTTGTGGCCCTTATTATGTTTAGGTTCATTTCTTCAATACTCAATTTGTTGAGAACTTTTGTAATGAAAGGATGTTAAATTTCGTCAAATGCTTTAACTGCATCTATTGATATTATAATTTTTATTCTTTACTTTTATTATTTGTCTCTTAATGAATGTGGTGTATCACAATTGTCAATTTGCCTATGTTGAACCATCCTTGTATCCTATGGGAAGATCCACTTGATAATGGTGTATAATCCTTTTTACACGCTATGAATTCAATTTGCTGGTACTTTGTGGAGAATTTTTTTTATCAGTGTTAGTCAAGGACGTTGGACTGTTATTTTCTTTCTTATAGTGTGCTTCTCTGGCATTGGTATGAGGGTAATGTTGGCTTCATAAAATGAGTTTGAAAGTGTTCTCTTATCCTCAATTTTTTGAAAGACTATGAGACGAATTGGGGAAAATTCTTCTTTAAATGTTTTGTGGAGTTTGCCAGTGAAGCCATCAGGTCCTGGACTCTTCTTTATTGGGAGTCTTCTTAATTCAATCTCCTTACCTGTCATTGGTTTGTTCTGATTTTCTACTTCTTCATGATTTAATCTTGGTATATTGTATGTTTCTAGAAATTTGGCCATTCGTTTTAGGGTATACAATTTGCTCGTGTATAAATATACTAATTTCTAGTGGTCCTTTGTATTTCTCTGGTATCGGTTATAATGTCTTCTCTTTCATTTCTGATTGTATTTATTTGAGCCTGCTCTTTTTTTTTCTTAGTCTAGATAAAAGTTTGCCAATATTACTGCTCTTTAAAAACAATTCTTAGTTTAGTTGATCTTTTCTATTGTTTTCTAGTTGTGCCCTTCATTCATAATGTGTTATTGGACTTTCAGCCTCTTGATTTACACAGACAATATTTACTTCTTGTAGCTTCTCACTGGTCTTGGTCCAGTGATTGATAGTGTTCTCCTGGTCTTGCCTAAGCTCTCCTTTTCACTTAGGTAATATCTTCCCAGGTGGCAGGCCTAGCCTGGAACCAGAACAACTATCCCCACTCTAAACCAAAAACACCACTTTTCGCCCACACCTGTCCAAAGAGAATTCCTTAATGTCTCCTCTCACCTTTTCCATGCCCACTTCTTTAGACACTGTTTAAGCCACTCACTTTATTTCCATAGAAAATATAACAGTAATATTCCATCTACAGACAAGAGTTTGTTCTGCCTGGATTTTTTTTTTAGAAAAAGGGAATATTACACTATAAATCTGTCACATAAAAGTGATTTCCTATTTCTGTCTTAACTTGGGTGCCTCTGAACAAGAAATATTACCTTTCTTCTCTGTATGGTATGCTCTAACTGTCCTGTTTGTATGTTTAATGAATATATTTAACGACAAAGCTAGGAAAGGGATGACAAATGAGGTTGTAGGAGGCTGGATAAAGATGCTGATAGATATAGACACCAAGAAATCCATAGGAAAATACAGGGCACATCTTAGTTTCATAGACTTCAATTACTAGTAAGAGAAGCCATTTGTTCAAACACTCTGCAGCTAGAGACTCCACACTTGCAAGGTATCCCAGCCTTGAAAGGGAGGATTTGTCTGACACCATCTCCACTCACAAGAGCGTGAAATCCAAAGAGAGTGACAGACATACAGACATACCGTGCCAGCACATTGAAGCATGTGAAACAACTCAGCAAAAGCATAGAGGAGAAAGGGAGAATATATTTGAAAGACTGAAAGTATGAAAGTAGCTCAGAATTACTAAATCACAAGTAGCAAACAAAGTCTGACAAATATATATTGTGCACATCAAAAATAGGATTTTCGTCATCTTCTTTTCTTATTATGTTTCTCATAATTTGAACTTATTTAGACCAGCAACACCACAATGTTATTATTTCAAAGGCAGAAATTGCCCCATATAAATGTATTTCTCTCCTTACAGTACCCTACTATTCTCCCTCAAATTCTTTCTTCATGTTTTAATTGGCAACTAAAAATTGAATATATATATATTTTTTTCAATGTACAATAAGTTGTTTTGAAATATGTATACATTGTGGAATGGCTTTCACTTTCCCTTATTTTACTTTTCCTCTGAGTATGCACTTTATTTCCTTTATTTGTGAAAATTATAGGTTAAAATTTAGTAAATCAAAATCCTTGGCTGAGCCTTAATTTAGTAGGAGACATAGATGTCTATAAATTAAATCCAATGGAATAAAGTCTGTAGGAATAAAGTATTAAAAGCTCAGAGATTCAGTCTTTCTGTGTCCTTCCTGAATAACTGATTGACAAAGATTTCTCTTTTTTGCCAGCTAAAAAGTGTCAAAAAGTAAAAATAATCATTAATTTATTTGAAAATATACTAAATTTATGGTATAATGCATCAACTAAATCCAATCACCACACTGGTTTAACAGACTAGATAAATTGTAGTCCAAATAATTAATGGGAAAAATTGCAATTAAATTGAGCATTTAAAGAGGAAAGGCTTTTGTCAGTCAATTTTGAATAAAGGCACGCCTGACAGGTTAAGAAATGCATACTTATGACCATCGGTAGACAATGGAATAGAATCCCTACTTGTTGCCTGGCATAGTGGCTCATGCCTGTAATCCCAGCACTTTGGGAGGCTGAAGAGGGTGGATGACTTAAAGTCAGGAGTTTGAGACCAGTCTGGCCAACATGGTGAAATCCTGTCTCTACTAAAAATACAAAAATTAGCCGGCGTGGAGGTGTGCGCCTGTAATCCAAGCTACTCGGGAGGATGAGACAGGAGAATCCCTTGAACCCAGGAGGCAGAGGTTGCAGTGAGCAGAGATAGCGCCATTGCACTCCAGCCTGGGCAACCGAGCGAGACTTGGTCTCTATAAAAAAAAAAAGAAACTCTACTTGTTAATGTGTTTTATTTAGCAATGTAAAGAATATCCCAATCATAATGGCTTAAATTGTGTATGTGTGTGTATACATGTATGTACAGATAGACAGATGTAGACACATACCAAGAGAGAGAGCGGCCCCAGGGTTTTATCTATTCAACATTATCATCAGATTCCAGTCACTGCCCATCTTTTCAGTCGTTGTTAGAGCCATCATTTATACTACCCAAAATTTCCTCATGTGAATTTAACTCATATCCACTCTAGTCTTTCATTCTGTATCAGAGTTAATTTATCTCAATAGAATTCTCAGCTTCATCCTCTCCCCCTTCACTACCCACCACATTCTCTGTGTTTCACACACCTGGATGCTAAGTTAGAATAGTTTTGGCTTAATGAAGTTTTACATTAAATTAAAGAAGACAGTTGTCAAAAACCATAAGACAATTATATAGCAAAAAAATACTTTTTCATATTTGTAAATGAAGGGGAAATTATCAAATATTTCCACTTCTCATTGCAATATAATATAGGATGAGGCTTCTCTGTCTCCCTGGAGTTAGATGTGGTCATGTTACTCAAAATGTGAGGCTAAGTGATAAAGCCAACATGGGGCAAATTGGCCACTGCTTGATATTCAAAGGTAGCCCTTAATGTTCCAGTTGGTGACTGCTATATCAGAAGTGCCTCCTGGAGTGAGGGGGTTGGTGATGACCAATGACATGCTGCCATAACGACAGCCATCCCCCACCTCCGCACACACATACACATCAATGTAGCATTAGCTTGGAACTGGGAAGGGAGCACTAGGGACACAGTTATCAGAGGCTAGAAGGAAAGGAAAGTGTTATATAAGCTTTAAGTAAAACTATATTTTACCATACCTCAGACAGCAGACAATAAACATAAACTTTAATAAATGGAAATAACTGTGAAGTCGCATGCATTTGTAAAGAATAACAAGAGAAATCCTTTATACATTTTACCCAGTTTCTTCCATCACAACATTTTGCAAACTTATAGCAAAATATCAAAATGAAGATATTGACAGATATAGAATATATTCATTTTATTCTGATTTCCCCAGTTTTACTCTTTTGTTTATGCATTCAATTCTTTACAATTTTATCACCTGCTTATGTTCCTATATCTACTCCCACAGTAAAGATACTGAACAATACAATGTCATAAGAATCCCTTATGATGCTTTTTCATAATTACACTCACTCCCTTCAAACTCTCTTCCTCCAATCTCTAGCAATTACTAACCTGGCTTCTGTTTCTACAGTTTTGTCATTTCAAATGAAAATATATATGGAACCTATAAGAATTTTCACTCAAAATAATTCCCCAGAGATCCATCCAAACTGTTATGCATATCTATAGTTACATTTTGTTGCTAAGTAATATTCCATAATATGGATGTACCACAGTTTTTTTTGACCATTCATCTGTTCAAGGACATCAGGCTGGAAACAGATTTTGACTATTACAAGTAAAGCTTCTATAAATGTACATATGCAGTATTTTCTACAAATGGAAGTTTTCATTTCTGCGGGATAAATGCCCCAGAGAGCATTTGCTAGGTCATATGTTGGTTGTATCTTCAGGTATTTTTTGTTTGTTTTAGAAACTACCAAATGTTTAGAATGATCCAGTATCTCTGCACACTTGCCAATGTTTAAAGGTGTCACCATTTTTTATCTTACACATTCTGAGTAGGCAGCCATCAATATGTAATTTGTATTTTAATTTGCATTTCCCAAATGAATAATAATGTTGAGCAATATTTTGTGACTTCATTTGTCATCTGTATGTCTTCTTTGATGAAACTACTGTTCATGTATTTTGTCCACTTTCAAATTATGTTTTTATAAAATTTGTTACTGTTAAGAATTGAAAATGTTTTATACATTTTAGGTATGTTGTTTGCAAACCTTTTCTCTCAAACTGTAGTTTATCTTTTCATATTTTTTCACATGTACTTTTATGAAGTAAAAGTGTTTAATTTTGATAAGGCCCAATATTTCATTTTTTCTTTAATAGATTGTGCACTGAATGTCAAGTCTAAAAATTATTTGCCTAATTCTATATCCTTTAGATTTCCTCTTCTTTATTTCTAAATGCTTTATAGTTGTACTTTTTGTTTTACATTTTCTGTAATCTATTTTAAGTTTTGTCTAACTTCTGAGTTTTAGGTTCTCTTTTTTTCTTTTTACTTTTTATTTTTCCTACATAGAACCAATTGCCTCAGGCTATCCTTTCTCCATTAAATTGAATTTGTACTTTTGTCAAAAACAAGTTCAGCATATTTTTGTGGGTCTATTACCAGGTCTTCTGTTCCAGCAAACTGTGTGCCTATTCCTTTGCCAATATCACATTTTACGTGATCACTATAGTTTTATAGTAAGCGTAATTACAATAGAATAATTTATTCTACTTTTTTTGTCAAGATTGTCTTAGCTATTATGGGGCCTTTGTGTTTCTATGTGAATTTTTAAATAAGTTTATCTATACCTATAAAAAATCTTGTTTAGATTTTGACAGAAATTGCACTAAATCTATAGATTAACTGTGCAGAATTGAAATCTTAGTTATGTAGAGTCTTGTAATCCCTGATTATTGTGTCTGTCTCCATTTATTGTAAGTCTTTGATTTTTTCAATCAGCTTTCTGTAAGTTTCAGCATGTATGTTTTGCTAAGTGTATACTTAAGTAGTTAATTTTCTGCTGAGCAGTTGTGAATTCCATAGTGTTATTTTTACTTTCTACACAGCAGGTTCATTGTTAGAACATAAAAATGTGATTAATTGTTTTGTGGTTGATCTTGAATCCTGTGACCTAACTCAACTGACTGATTAGTTCTATGAAGTTTCGGTGGATTCTTCAGAATTTCCTCTATAGACAATTATGCCATCTATAAATGGGACAACTTTTTTTTTCTATTTCAATTTGTATGTCCTGTATTTCCTCTTCTTGCTTTATATTACAAACTAGAACCAACTTCCAGGATGATGTTGAATCAACTTCATGAGAGTAAATATCTTGCCTTTGTCCCAATCTTAGGGGAAAATCATTGTCTTTCACCATTAAGTATGTTAGCTCTAGCGTTTTTGTAGATGCTCTGTAATCAAATTGAGGTAACTCTGCTCTACTCTTATTTCCCTAATAGTTGTATTATGTGATGTGTCAACGTGGGTTCATCAGTTGTAACAAATGTACCATTCTGGTGCATGATGCTGATAGTGGAAGAGGTTGTGCTTTCATGGGGACAGGAGATATACGTGAACTCTGTACTTTCCAAATCAATTTTGCTGTGAACCTAAATCAGCTCCAAAAATTAAGTTTATTAATTAAAACAAGAGTTTTGTTATGAATTGCTGTTGGCTTTTGACAATTAATATGATCAAATGATTTTTCTTCTTTACCATGTTTAAATGATGGATTGTATTGACTGTTGTTCAGATGTTAAAACAGCCTTGCATCCCTGGAATAAATACTAATTGGCTATAGTGTATAATTCTTTTTACACATTTATCATTCAATTGGCTCATATTATATTCAAGACCTTTGTGTCTAAAGTCACAAGATATTGGTGTACAGTTCATTATTGTACTGTCTTTGTCTGATATTGTTATCAAGGTAATACTAGTCTCATAAAATGATTTGGGAAGTGTTCTTTCTTACACTTTCTGGAAAAAATTGCTCAATATTCATGGTGATTCTTTTTAATTTTTTTTACATTTTGCAAAATTATCTTTATAGAGCGTCTAAGACTGTCTATTTCATCTTGGTTGAGTTTGGTGGCTTGTAGTCTTTGACGAGTCACTTCCTTTCTTCTAAGTTTTCAGATTTATGAGCATAAAATTGTTTGTAATATTTTCTTACAATCTTTTGAATGGATGCAAGATATGTAGTGATACACAATATTATTTTGATTCTTGGGAAATTGTATCTTCTCTTATTTTATTAGTCTTATTAATTGTATTGATAAAATTAATAGAGGTTTATTAATTTTATTGATAAGCTAGCTGTTTTGTTTATTATTTTTATTGCTTCTTATTTTCAATTTCAGTGAGTTTGTTCCTATCTATATTTCCTTCATTATAGCTTTGAGTTTACGTTTCCATTCTTTGTCAAGTTTCCTGAGGTAGATACATAGGTTATTGATTTGAGACTTTTCCTCATTTTCAATGCAGGCATTCAGTGCTATAAGTTTTTCTCTCAATTGCTCTTTAACCAAGTCCCACAAATTTTGATATATTATGTTCTCATTCAGTAATATATATTTTTAAAATTTCCTTTGAGACTTACTCTCTGGCCAGGGGAGTATCTAGAAGGGTGTTGTTTAATGTTTCCATGTTTAGAGATGTTTTTCTGTTTTCTTTATGTTATATATTTATAGTTTGATTCAATTATTGTAAGAGAGCTTACTCTGCAACATTTTATTTATTTGTTTAAAAATGTACAATACATTTTTTGTTTATTTCAATAGGTTTCTATGGAACATGTAGTGTTTGGTTACATGAATACGTTCTTTTGTGGTGATTTATGAGATTTTGATGCACCCTATCACCTGAGCATTATACACTGTACCCAATATGTAGTCTTTTATCCCTCACACTCTTCCCACACTTTCCCCTAAGTCCCCAGAGTACACCATATCATTCTTATGCCTTTGCATACTCATAGCTTATCTTCCACCTATGAGTGAGAACATATGATGTTTGGTTTTCCATTCCTGAGTTATTTCACTTAGAATAATGGTCTCCAATTCCATCCAGGTTGCTACAAATGCCATTATTTTGTTCCTTTTTATGGCTAAGTAGTCTTCCATGGTGTGTGTGTGTATATATACATATATATATACATATATCACATTTTCTTTATTCACTCATCGATTGTTGGGCATTTGGACGGGTTCCATATTTGTGCAATTGAGAATTTTGCTGCTATAGACATGTGTGTGCAAATATCTTTTTCATATAATGACTTTTGTGTAATAACCTTGCGGTAGCTATGCAGGAGTGGAACTGCTGGATCAAATGGTAGATATACTTTTAGATCTTTAAGGAAACTCCACACTGGTTTCCGTAGTGGTTGTACAACTTTACATTCTCATCAACTGTGCATCATTTTAAATCTTTTAAAAATGTTTAGGTTTGTTTTATGGCCTAGAATATTGTCTATCTTGATTAATTTTCCATAATTGTTTGAATAAAAAAGTGTATTTTGCTTTTGTTGAGTAGATTGTACTATATACACCAGTTAGACACTGTTGGTCGATTATGTTATTCAGACCTTCTACATATTTGCTAGTAGTTCTCTTGTTTTTGCGAGTGTGTTGAAGTCCCCAAATATAATTGTAGATTTGTCTATTTATCTTTTCAACTCTATGAGATTGTTTATGTATTTCATGGTCTGTTGCTTTAGGAATATATATTTTGTGCACATATATTTATTATTATAAACTTTTCTGTTTGGAGTTTGCCCAACCTTTGGAATCTGTATGTTTGTTTATTTCACCAAAGCTGAAAGATTTGTACAAAATATTGTTTCAAATACTCTTTCATTCTCTTTTAATTTCTCATTTTCTTATGGGACTCTGATGATATAAATACTGGATCTTAGTATCCCATAGATCCTTTAGGCTTTATTCGTTATTTTCTCTGTTGTGTTATTTCATCTTCATGGTTACTAATTGAATCCTCTGCCATTTGACCTTTATTCATGAATTCAGCCAGAGAAGATTGTTTTGCTTTGGTTTGGTTATTTATTTTTTTAGTTCAATAATTTCCATTTGTTATTTTTTAGATCTCAATTTCTTTCTTGATTTTTTTTCTATGTATTCTTATTTGTTGCAAAAGAATTTGTAATGGATTATTCAAACACTATTTTGATGCCTCTCATTAATTTCTTATTAAATCTATTCAATATCTGATTTATCTCAGTGCTGGCATCCATTTATTTTTTTTGCCACTGAAGTTGCAATTTTCCTGAATTTTGATATATCTAATTATTTTGAATTGTATCCTGAACATTTTGCCTATTGTGGTAGGAGACTGTGGGTCTATTTATATAGTTTATTTAAGTCAGCATTCACCCTATTTAAGTTTAGCATGCGGGTCTTCACCTAACTCTGTGGGCTGTGTTTCAAAGGCAATTAAATTTACGGAGCTTCTTCACTGCTGTGTTGGCTTGCTTGGTTTGTCTGTTCCTTCTGCTGGGGCTCCCATTGATTACTGCTGATGTTGTCAAGGCCAATTTCTCCAGGTATCCCTTAGTGAGTGAGGACTGTTGTGGGATCTCCCATTTGGCATATCCTAGCTACCTCCATGACTTGGTTTCAGGAGGGTCTCAGGCTCCTAGGGAAAAGAAAGATTGCTATGTCAGAGCACTTGCTGTGGCTGGGGATTGTTTCCAATTCCATCAGGCAGGCTGCCTACGTGTCTCTCAGTGGAAAAGATGAGCCTTAGACACAGCATGGAAAGAGACGAACTCTCCTGGCCACTTAATTCTGGCAAAGCTCCCACTCACTCACTCACTCTTCCCTTAGTGGTGGCGTGAGACTCACATGCTGTCAGAAGGACTCATGGTCAATCTGGCAGAAGAATAAGCCTACCTGGGCCACCTTCTCTTCTAAATTAGAGGGTCTGGAGTGGGGGGATCCTGCTGTTGTTATCCTCTTCCCCTTCTCAAGTCTCAAAACAGCTTACATTCTTAGCACATTTTAGCCTTCTTCTTTAGTTTTCTCTTGTGCTATTTTTATAGCTATGCTTAGCAGAGAGGCAAGAAAAAAATGGGCTTATGCCTTGTTCAAAACAGGGTCTAAAACTGGAGTTTTAGTGTAGTTTCTTTCCTCATAAAGTATTAACTCTAGGGAAAAGAAATGAAATTAAAACATAATACAGTGTGATAGTTCCTATTGATCGTATTTGACAAGTTATTATAAGAAAAAGATGAGTTGAGAAAAGGCTTGGCTTGGCTTGAATCATGAAAAGGAAATAAAAGTAAACCAGAAATGTGAGGACTTGCAGAGTTGCAAGAGGTGACTGCTTCTCAACAAGAGCAATAAAATATAAAACTGAGAAAAGGCCTTTGGCTAGAACTAAATCAGTGCATGGCTCTCAAATATAGTGTAAAAACATCTGAGTGGAGAAATGAGTCTCAGAGTCAAGGGTATTTTTTGGAGGAGGAGGGAAGTTATTTTTCCAATAAATCTCTAAGAACCTCACTATCTTTTGTTACTACAGCATGATTCAGTTCATCTAGTCGGGTATGCCATTGATGGTATGATGGATGGCTAGAAAAAATATACTATGAAAATTAGAACTTGAAATCTTCATCTATTTAATATTCATCATTTCACATTCCACTTTCCAAATTCAGCTTTCCCTCAGTAGTACAAAACCTATAGTCCATGGAGGAGTTGGAGTATGAATGTTTTTCTGGAGAGATGCAATGAATCATTTCAAAATGATAAACTTCATTTTTAATCTAGAAAGTGCTTCTTTTATGTTTTATTGGTGATCTTATATTCTATGGTATTCCATTTGATATCCTGCTATCTTTATTACTCTTCATTCATGCCCAGCATCAATATATCAGAAAGCTCAAAAATAAATAGTCTATAAGATAAATATATCTTATAGACTCTATATAAGACATATAAGAAATATATGATATATTTATCTTATAGACTATATATACATATATATATATATGAGATATATGTATATACTTCCATTTACATTGACTCCATCCTCAACATGCTAAGTGAACCCTCCACACTATCAAACTATAATTCAAAACATTTCGGGATGGAATTCATGAGCCTTCATTTTTTTTTTTGACAACAAACTTTTAAAGTCATCTTGTCTCCCCATTCCTCTTACACGTGTCATGCCCTTAAGACAATCAAACTTCTTGATTTTTCCTAAGAAAATCTCATACTCTTTTCCCTTCACCATGTCTTTGTTTTAATTGTTCCCTTGATCTGGAATTATCTGTCTTCATTCTATAGCACTGTCACCTGCTTACATCTCTAAATCTAGCTTCTTCCTCCAGGATTTCCTGGTCTGCATCGCTGTAACCCACACAATGCTACCATGCATGCTTCCTCGAAAGGCCATAGGCAAGTTAAGCTCTATGTGCTTAAAACGTTCTTATACTACCTCCTAAAATTTGTATTTCTTCAAGCAGAAATAATTCATTATTCCGCTCTCTTTTTCAAGTGGTCTTACTTAACCCTAAATAAATATTTATTGAATAAATAGAATTAAATTGGATTTCTCTCCTAATTTACTTAGGAAAATAACTTATTCATGGTGAGTTACTTATTCAGTAGTTGGGGCATTTCAGGGAAACACCATTTATTTCAAGGTGTTCCATAGTTTTTAAACTAGCATCTTGCTTTAAATTATTAGCAAAATTACCATTTATGCACTTGCATAACAAAAGCTATAAATATTAGCCACATGCCCTCTGACTTTTTCAGTAGCAGTAAAATTTTTCTATCAAGTATAAAATTGAAGAGACATAAAACATGCCAGCTGCCCACACTTCAACCTTTGAAGTTTTGAATGAGAATCTCACAAGTAAGACCAGAAAACTAAATATTGGTTCTGCCCATAACAACAGCTTAAGTTAGCAACAGAATCATATTTTTCTCTATGACAATGCCAAAAGACACCAAGGGTGTCTCGTGGGAAACCATGGTATAAGAGAAACTACAGGCATATGAGAGGCAGTAATGTACAGAGGAAGGATCAACAGATTTGGTAATGGGCAAAACTGTGTTTAATATTCAGCTCTGTTGCTTATGAAAGGTCAATCTCCAGCAAGTAAATGAGGCCTCATGTCTGTCTCCAAATTCTATGTGCCCAACTGTGTGACCCAATAGCCTTCTATCGTCGTCATGCTGTATGAGTTAGTATAGTCCAAGTAACAGTAGCAAATAAGCCCAAAATTTTAGATGCTTAAAGAAGAAGAACTTGATTTATTTTTCATTTAATAGTCCAGGGAAGCTTCCAGCTCCTAAGAACTTATTCACAGATTGAGGTCAATAGCTGCTTTCCTACCTTCACCAAGTGGCTCCTAAGGTCATCCTGTCCATCAAACCTTCAGTCAGTTGGAATTGGAATTTAATGGAGGAGTACCATGCAAGATTTTGTTTTTATTTGTTTTGTTTTACTTTCATGGCCATAAAATAGCACAAATGATTTCCCTTCACATTGTTGCTGGAGAGGAGTAGTTAATGTACTACTGCAGGTAGCTACAGCTACCTGCAAAGGAAGCTGGAGAATGTAAATGTAGCTGTGTGTCCAAGAAAAAAACAAATAAAGGAGACTTTGGTGGGCATCTAGTGGTCTCTGCCACAACAGGCTCATATGACATATTGAAGTTGCAAAGACAATGGAAAGATGGACTCAGGCCTCCAACCCTGACAATCTAGGGGACAATTGCTTAATAATCATTAAGTGTAATAATAAAATAATAGATAAAATATATTTACCTATTCGTTGTGTTCATGGCATTAGGCTTCGTGCTCACCCTAAACAACATTTCTCCATTCTCTTTGCAGTTGTCTCTGGCCATGTATGAGTTCTAGTCAAAAGAATGTGAGCATAAGCCCATGTCCTTTTAGGGACCATCATTTTAAGAAGCAGGTGTAGCTTTCCCATGCATTTGCCCCCTCTGCCTGCTAGATGGAGAGGATTCCAAAGCCCTAGGTAGGCAGAACCACAGGATCCCAGAGTCATCATGGAGAGAACAGTGACCTGCTAATCAGAAAAAAAACAGCATTTTTGAGTTATTTAAAAAAGAAATAAACTTTTGTTAAGTAAACCACTGGCAGTTTTTACTTTATTTGATTTAATAGTTATACTGAAAATAATGCAGTGCTAAATGAAAGTTATAATACATCAAAAATAATAGATCAACTATTATGAATACTGTTTAGCTTATTTTATTACATTATAGCTTGCATGTCAGAGATCCCAATAAGAATAAATTGCTTGAAATCTCACCTAGTAACTCTTCAAGATATTGATCATTCTTATTCCCATCATCTCATAGTCTATGCCTCTCTAGCTCCATGCTTAACTTAAAACAAGCATTTAACTCCTTGAAATCTCACTGTCCTCTCCCTGCTATCTCTATCCCCTCAGAAATTTAAAGCTTTATGAAATAAGTTTGGTTTTTGCTTTTAATTCATTTCATTTTTAATTAAAATATTACTTATTTGATAACTAAGATACTGCACTAGGATACTGCACTAGGATTAGGAATGCAACTATGATCAAAGAAACAAAGCTGGTTTTTCTTCTCATAGATCTTACAGATCTTACATTTCATTGACAGAGATGGAGATTCCTAAAAAAGTCATACACTCAAATACAGGAGCCAAAATGGGTGCTGCTATTGTCTCACATACCTTTACCAACATCTGGTCATAAGTCCCCTCTGAAATCCTGCAATTCAGCTCTTTTTCAAGCTAGTTCAAAATATAATGATAAAATTATCTAGTTTGGGCATATTAAATAACATGAACTTTAGGAAAACCCATCACAACTAATGACTTTCTACAAATTAATAAGTAATAAATTAGAGTATTGGATTCCAAAATGTACTTGGCTGACATATTTTAAGGGGAGCTGAGATGTCATTATTTATTTTGTTTCAAGGTTCATTATAATGGGAGTTTTTAACCATGGGATGAATCCTAAATAATAGCAGTCAGCAGCAGGGTAATTTGGTATGCATCTGAGATGTGTTGTTTCTTCTTGACAAGTCGCGTACTTATTGTAACAGTGTTTCTCGTGGCTTGTAAGTCTAGGGATAAAGCTAAGAGTATAAGTTGTAAAATGTATAAGGCTCCCTCTTATTTCCACCTGCTGGAATTCTATCTCATCAAAGCCCACATGTCTACTTCAAAGGTTTAATGCTCCTCAGGATGCTTCTTCATTTTAGGCAATTCTTTGTTGATGCTTTAGCCGTGGAAATATTCTCTATTATGTGATGATTCTTAATTCTACATCTGTCCCATCATGGCCAACAGGCAACATCCCCAGTCCAGGACCCCCACTGCTCAACATCAGTGTTCCTGCGATTCTTAGGCCAGTTTTCCTTTACTATCTCAACCTCTTACAAGTGTTGTCAGAACATTCAGCTTCAGAGGTGTACATCTCACAGAAACTTGCATAGCTCTAAAATGCAGAAGCAGAGTACTTTCTCACAAAGGACATGAGACTAAAAAGCATGACACGTATAGGCTTCATTGTTTTGTTCCACTAATTGTAATCCCTTATCATCTTTCCAAGTCCTCTCGGTGCCTCCTCATGCCTAAGTGGCCCTTTTGAGAATAATTCCAACTTTTCCTAAAGTCTCAAAGTTTTTGATATGCATATCTAATTAACACAGCCTTTATTCTGCATTTATTTATGCTTTTGCTAAGAGGAAAAAACTTGGAGTGATATAAAAACCTAAATGTGAAGATTTGCAACTTCTAAAAGCCAGAATACATGCAAGTATTTAAGTATTTTGCCAGCTCTTAAAATAAAAACTAAGTATTGTCAAAATTATTCTTGAGAGATCCTTAATCACCAGTAAAGCTTTGACTTTCAATAGGACTTATCCAAGCAGAGTTTCTGCCAGCTTTGGAACAGATGCTTTTTTGAGAACTGTACAATTATATTTTATTCAATATGTACTATGTTGCAGGTAATCTTCTAAGTATGTAATATTCATTAACTCACCTAACTTTCTGTATCATCCTGTGGGAAAATAGCATTTTATTCACATCTATGGATGAGAAAGCTGATGTAAGGAGGAATCCTCAAGGCCACAATGTTAATTAATTAAGGACAGAATTCAAACCCTCAATTTTATTGGAGCTAAGTTCCATCTCTTTTCCTCGTACTTGTTCACAAAGACAGAAACAAAATAAATAATTACAATAAAAAGCCAATCATTTTCACTTTATTGCTGAAATAACTGCTCATGGATTCAAATATACAGAGAATTCCTGGGGATAGGCAATACTTCCTGCATAGCATACACAGCATGCTGAAACCTTTCATCTGAACGTTCCTGCAATTTTCCCTCTCTGCTATTGTTCTCTCATATGGGTCCTTCCATCAGGAATTTTCACCTAAACATCTCCAATCTTAAAAGAACAACAACACAATTTATTTCAGCTTCATATTCTGCTCCAGCAAACAGACTCCTTGTTTTCATTTATTCTTCAAATCATTCTACTTTGACTTCTACTTCAGTCACTTCACTGAAATAGCTCCCAATGTGGTGAATGTTGTGTCAGTGGTTCACAGCACCAGATTCACTGAGCATACTTCAGAATTCGTCTTACTTCTCAGTAGTGCCTGACATTTTTGATTACTGTTTGTCTTTTAATATGCTTTATTTCCTCAGCCCTTTTCAAACTACCAGTTTTACCCAATACCAATCTTTAAGATTCATGCATATGGTCAAATGCACATCTGGTTTGTTGCTTCTGACTGCTGCAGAGTATTCCATAGTGATGTCGATGAATTTTACTTATAAGCTCCCCCAGTATTGAACAGGTGAGTTGAACAGGTAAATTGTCACGGAGTCCTTGCTATGAAAAGCAACAGAACAGTTTCCTCATAGAAGTTCTCTAATGGACCAGTGGGGGTTTCTCAGAATACATATATGCAGGAGTGAGATTTCTCATTTATGGAACACACTCGGACTGGAATTCACTAACTGGTACTTGATTGATAGCCAGAAATATGTGTAATTTCTAATTTCAAAGAAGTGTCTGTCTCTCTGTATCTTCACCAACATTTGATTTTATCCCGCTGTCTAATTATTTGGTATTATGATGGATATAAAAAGGAATTTCACTTATGTATTAATATTCATTTTTTAAATTACAGTGGAGTTGGACATATCATGATATTCTTATTAGCTCTTTCATATTATCCTTTTGTAAATGTCTCAGCTATATCCTTTGTCCATTATCCCATAAAGCTTTCTTATTAATTTCTCTCTCTCTTAGACAACAATATCAATGTTAAAATTTTCAAAACCTATCTTTTTGGAATGGTACCCAAATTCATATTGCTATCCCAGTCAGTTTTCCTAGTTCTAGTTCCAACTCCGTAATTGAGTACTTCATACAGAGGTCTTAAAGGCATCACAGACTCAGCACACCCAACGCTAACTGATGCTCCTCTGACTCTCCTCTGCTATCATATGGGTTTTGTCTGGTGCTTGTTATCGCTGAATATCACTCAATCCACCTACTTGGTGACCCAAGGGCCTTCTCTAACACTTTTCTCTTCCTTCCTCCTCATGCTTATTCTGTTACCAAGACCTCTGTGGTATTTGCAATCTCTCCTCAGTTCACCTAATCCTATTTACCATATCTTTATTTTGCTCCAGATGAAGATACTTAATAACTCTACTGTGCTATGACAATTTGATCTCCCTACTCCATTTTTTGGTCATGTATTTTGTGCCATTTATTTTTTATTTATTATATTTTGACAAATTATATTTGTATATATTTATAGGATATAGTGCAATATATTTTCCACATTGAAACCATTAAAACTGTGGATGTCTCCTCTGCTGGAAACAATTCAGTGGTTCCCATTGCTTTGGGGATCCAGGCTAGGTGTCTTAGTATTGTCCACAGCAGCTTCATGGTCTGGTTCCTGCCTAATGCTATGGCTGAATCTTATAAAACTACTGTATCAGCCCTCACTTCTTTTACCATTCATATAGGTTAATCCCTTTTTCATCTTTTAGGTACCAGTTCAAAATATTGCTTTCTCAGGAAAAATTTCTTGGTGTCCTGAGTCAAATTTCTTTGTGATATGGCCTAAGTAATGTATATATTTCGTGTAGGTCAACTATCTCTTTGTGATTGAGTATCTATTTGGGTAACTATATAATTAATATTTGTCTTTCCCATTACTGTTCAAGAAATCACATACTATGAACTTTTGTGTTCCCAGGTGTGCACCATGGCCACTCAAGCTACATATGCTGTACAGATTAATACATTTTGGATGTGGAAACGTGTGTGTGTTTGGGTATGTGGATGCATGTAAATTTAGAACAGAATATATAAAATCATTAGTTGTAGTGATAAGTAGTAAGATTACAGATGTTTTTTAAAATTATTGATAGTTACTTTATTTCCTAAACTTGTATAATAAGAAAGTGGCATAAATTACTTCCAAATAACCAGTTCTCAGAATCCATTTGCTGAAGCTCTCCTTTCTGCAGCTTCATTTTCTCTAAAAATATAAAATCTTTGGTCTTCTTCTGCCATTACTTCTTTATCAAAGGATGTAAATTCACATTCTAATGGCTCTCAAGGGAGCAGCACTGGATAGTAAGCTAAATAACTAGTTACATGTTACTTGCACTGATTAATTGCTTAAAATCAATTAGCCCAATTGGAGAAAACAAGCAATGTTTTTGCTGAAAGAGTCATAGGGGACAGTAGCATGCATTTTTTCCTGCATAAATTGCTGCTTTTTAATAGGGAGTTACTTGCTTTAAAAAATCAAATGATTCTTTGTCAAAATAAAGAAAGAAATTAGCCTTTTTGATGCAAAATAATATCGATGACATTTATATTAGCAAATTTAAGATGAATAAAATTTTACTTTAAATGTGTTTGATTCCCTTAAAATCCTGTCCCTTTAAGGACAGCAAAGTAGATTTTATTTCTCAGGTTATTTGATGAGTTTAGGACCACATGGTAAAGATTAGGTAGCACTGGTACTATAACTCAGGACTTTTGATCAGAAGGTCAGTTTTTTTTTTCCTGAATTTATTATTTTACTATCCATAGACCATCTTCTCCTGGAAGTCTGAACTACTTGCTAACTCTTACGTACAAGGTGGAGACACCAGGCAGGGAGACATTCCTCTCTATTACAAAACTACTGGTATTTAATAAATGTCGTAATGTAAAGGATACTGTTACTTATTCATATGACCATTTCAGGTAAGTGATATTATTCATAATACACAGAAGAGAAAAGTGGCTCCTAAAGGGCTTGGATATTTAAGCACGTTTACGAAGACAATAAGTAAAAAAAAAAATCTGGATTGAATAATCATGTTCTATCCTTTCAGCAAAATCACTGAGGATAAATTAAGGACTACACCTAGCATAGAAGGATGGGATTCGAAGGTGAACATCTTGTTTACCTATGATAAGGCCAGATACAAACACTCCAAATTTTCATTCTTCTTTTATAAACGACCAGCTGAACTAATTGTTTCCATACATAGGGTTTGCCTCATAATCCCAAAGGACACAACCTCAAACACCATAATACCAAAAGTCTAAATCCTTAAAGTCTAAAATATCTAACATCTTAAATACTGAAAATTACAATTATAGGATAGTTGCAAAATGTTATGTACAACTATTATCTTGTTATTGTCTTCATGCAGAAGAAAATGGATTTTAATTGAATTCCCAAGCCACAATGACAGATTTGAAGTAAAGTGCAATCAAGGCTTCTAAAAGTGAATTTCAAGGTATTACCAATAAAATTTGTTTTGTTCATTTATCTCAATACATTTGACAAAAATTCACATGTTTGGAAGCCAATATGATATGGCAAGGATGAAAACTTAAGTTTAAAAATGTGCTATTTGTCTGCAGTGGAATTTTTTCCAGGTTATGACATTCCAGGAGTTTTCAATGAATTAAAGCCATATTTGCTTGAATAAAACAGTGAAGTTACTAACTGGCTCTAAAATAATTATGTGCATAGTAGAAAAAAAAGACAGTTGAGCAATGGTGTGGTCACTCAATTACCAATATTGTTTCTACCAAATTTGTGGTTTGTATGTGAATGCATTTGGAATAGATGTCCACATATGCCCCCAAAACATAGAAGCATGGCACAGTGGGAAAATTAAATAAGCAATTCTTATGTAAGTGTATACTGAATCATTGAAGAATTTCAAACAGCAACAGCACTGCCTAGTAGAAAATGAATGTCTTAAAAGGAAAAAAAAAAAAATTGCTACTCCCTGTGATTCAAGATTTCAAAATATAGGTAATGTTCGTGAAAGATGGCCAGCTCTTATGGACTGTCTCTGTGCAATTGCCCGTAATCTATTTCTACAATATGTTTTTTCACATGTCAATTTTTGTTTTAGGTTTTTGAGTTGTTGTTTTATTTTCTTTTCTAGATCCTTCTTTTTGTTTTTGCTGATTTTTAAAAATATTTTACATTGATTACCACTATTGTTTCATGCTTCACTGTGCTGTATATATCATCTTCTCATCATTTCCAGTAATTAGGGTATAAATTGTTTTAAAAGTTTTGGAGAATTATAATTCATTATATGTATTTTTTTTCAAAAGAGACTCCACGAAAATGCATTATCACAATGTTGACTTTGTGTGTAAGCATAGCATGTGAATACAGAAACATTGACACTTGTTTGGTAGATGAAGATAAGTCCTTTTTGTACTTTTGTATTTGTGAAAGATAAAATGTCGTGAGATCTTGGCTTTTTGGGTGACTGGTGCAGTAGTGCTGTGTATTAGTCCATTCTCATGCTACTATTAAAGACATATCCAAGACTGGGTAATTTATAAAGGAAAGAGGTTTTATTGACTTACAGTTCTACAGGGCTGGGTTGGCTCAGGAAACTTACAACCATGGTGGAAGGGGAAGAAAACACATCCCTCTTAACATGGTGGCAGCGAGGAGAAGTGCAGAGCAAAAGGGGGAAAAGCCCCTTATAAAACCATCAGATCTTGTGAGAACTCACTCACTATCATAAAAACAGTATGGGGAAAGCTGCCCCCATGATTCAATTAGCTCCTCCTTGTCCCTCCCACAACATGTGGGGATTATAGGAACTTCAATTTAAGATGAAATTTGAGTGGGGGCACAGCCAAACCATATCATTCTGCTGCTGGTTCCTCCCAAATCTCATGTTCTCATAATTTAAAACACAATAATGCCCTTCCAACAGTCCCCCAAAGTCTTAACTCATTCCAGCATTAACTCAAAAGTCCAAGTCCAAAGTTTCACTGGAGACAAGACAAGTCTCTTCTACTTATGAGCCTGTAAAATTAAAAGAAAGTTAGTTACTTCCTAAATACACTGGAGTACTGGGTAAATACACCCATTTCAAATGGGAGAAATTGATCAAAATGAAGGGGTTACAGGCCTCATGCAAGTCTGAAATCCAATAGGGCAATCATTCAACCTTAAAGTTCCAAAATGATCTCCTTTGACTTCATGTCTCATATCCAGGGCACACTGATGCAAGAAGTGGCCTCCTATGGCCCTGGGCACCTCTGCCCCTGTGGCTTTGCAGGTTACAGCCTCCCTACCACAAGCTTTTATGAGCTGGGGTTGAATGTCTGTGTCTTTTTCAGGCACACAGTGAAAGGTGTTGGTGGATCTACACTTCTAGGGTCTGGGGGACAGTGGCCCTTTCTCACAGCTCCACAACGCAGTGCCCCAGTGGGAACTCTGGGGACTCCGACCCCACATTTCCCTTCTGCACTGCCCTAGCAGAGGTTCTCCATGGGGAATCTGCCTCTGCAGCAAACTTCTGCCTGGACATCTAGGCGATTTCATATATCCCCTGGAATGTAGGTGGTTGGGGTGATCGGACCAAACACAAGGTTGTGGGGGTGACGAAGTGCGGCAGAGTCAAAGGAATGAGAAAAGACAGTTTGAGAGAGAAAGTGGGTCCAGGGGGCCATCGCTAAGTATGGAGGCAGTGAAGGCCCCAAGCTCTGGAAGCCCAGACTATTTATTGGTGATCAAAGAAACAGGTGGTGAGAATGTGGGGGTCAAAAGGGCGCGTTGCATTAAGCACATGATTTACAGCTGTGACAGTTTACCATATGCTCTGCTACTTGAGATAAAGGTTCTTTTAACTCAAGATACAATCTATTCTGGGAGAGCAAGGAGCAAGGAGCCAGCAAGTCTAGACACATTCCAGAGGCCAAGAGTCCTGGTTTCTATCCAAGCCACGAGGGGTTTTATGCCCTGGGCTTAGATGATGGTGCGTCAATCAAGAAGGAAGATTTCTTCCTTCTTGATTTTAAGGTTCTCCTATTATTTGATATTTCTGGACAAACAAAAGAGTGTTACATCTCTGTATACTCTTTTCACTCCAAATTGTTTGTAAGCACCCTGAGGATTGAGGTGACATTTTGGTCATCTTTCTGCCTCTAATAACTTAACAGAGTAACCGGCCTAGAGTAAGAACTCATTATTACTAGTCTACTCATTCAGTGACTAATTAGAGATGATTTACTCAAAATGAGCAATAGAAAGTTTAGTCTTATCTTTTGGGATGTTTTTCCAGATTAGAGTCTGCCTGGGCTGCTTAATAATCTCATTATGTGTAAAGAGAAATGGTATGATTTTAGCTATGAGTTTGTCATATTTCAACTTTTCCCTGTTTGATATGATGTTAGCTATGAGTTTGTCATATGTTAGCTATGAGTTTGGTGTGATGTTAGCTATGAGTTTGTGTCATATATATGATGCTTGCTATGAGTTTGCCTTTATGGTGTTCAGATATATTCCTTCTATACCTAATTTATTCAGAGTTTTTGTAATGAAAATTTAAAAATTTTGAATGTGAAAAATTTTTCAATTTTTTTTTTTCATTTGTTGAGATTATTATGTGTTTTTTTTCTTTTTCTTTTTTGGATTTCAACATGGTAAGCTACATTAGTTGATTTTTGAATGATGTACTAAATTTGCATTCCTGGGCTAAATCTCAGTGGGTCAGCATGTGGTAACTCACTTACGAGTGTGTTCCTCAGCTGATTAACTTATATTTTCTTTATGACTTTTGCATCTATGTTGATGAGAGAAAGTTGTCTATAGTCCTCTTTTCTTTAAACGTCTTTTTTTTTCTGGTTTTGGCATCAGGCTAATGTCGGCACCATAAAATCACTTGGGAAGTGTACTCCCATGCTCTGAGTGCTGATATAGTGCAGGTAGGGTTGATTTATTGCCCTTTAAGTGTTTATTAGCATTAACTAGTGAAGCCATCTGGGCTTATTTAATTTGTTGGAAGGCTTTTAGCTAAGCTTTTCATAAATATAAGGCTTCTTATGTAAGCTTGGTTAGTTTTTGTCTTTCCAGGAATTTGTCCATTGTGAGTTTGTTATAGACTCAAGTTAAGTTTAAGTTTGTCCAGTAGGAGTTTAACTTATATACTGGGATAACATTTTCATGATATTCCATTACTATCTGTTTAATGTTGGCAGATTTTCTAGTGATTACTAATATTTAATTTCTGATATTGATAATTATTTCTATTTTTTCAATCAGTATATGTATATTATTAGTTTTATTTTTCTTTTAGAAGAACTAAGTTTTGTTTTTATATTTTTCACTGTTTTTCTGTTGTCTATTACATTGATCTCTTAAATCGTTATTTTTATTCTAATGCCAACTTTAAATTTTTACATTAGTCTTTTGTCTTACTCTTGAATCCGAGGTAATTGAATTTGGGACTTATTTCTTTGTTAATATAAGGACTCAAAACTAATCTTTTAAAGAATTGTAATTCACTTTACATACAGATTTTGATGTGTTTGCTTTCATTATAAGATACTTAAAAATATTTCATAATTTCCTATGTGATTCCCTACTTGGCCTACGTGTTATTTCAAGTTGTGATGTTTTATTTCAAAACATTTGAAAATTTTTCAGATACTTTTCTCTTATTGATTTCTACTTTGCTTACATTTTAATAAAAAAATACCCTGTATAATTCCAATCATTTAAAATATATTAAGACTCATTGTAGGGCCCATTTTATGGTCTATCTTGATGAATCTACCTTGATAAGTAATGCGTGTGCACATATTTTCTTACTTTGAATTCTTGTAAATGTGTCAGTTAAATCAACACGATTAATAGTGTTTTTTGAGTTACTCTTACTATATTTTATTTACTTGTTCTAGCAATTACTGTAAGAGTATTATAGTTATCTCCAAGTATATGTGTAGATTTTCTTTTCCATTCATGTTTTTCAGCTTCAGTTTTATGCATTTTTATGTTATCTTATTGGGTACATAGAAGTTTAGGATAGTTATGTCTTCATGAGGAATTAACAACTTTATAAAGTGTTACATAATTGTATGATTATAAAATGTTTTTCTTCTTTTTTAACCCCTGTCATATTTCTTATTTGAATTCTGATTTCTAGTGATGTTATTATAGCCACCCCAGTTATATTTTTATTAATATTATATTACTATGTTTTCCCAACCCTGTACTTTTAAGATAATAATAATATCTTTATATTTAAATTGGTTTCCTACCAGACAAGTAGGGCTTTGTTTATTATTAAGTTTGATCATGTTGCTTTTTAATTGGAGCATTAAGACCATCTATCTTTAATGTAATTATTTATGTTGTTAGGTTTAAATCTACCATACTTTTATTTGTTTTCTTCATTTTTTAAATTTTTTTCTCCCCATACCTTCTTTTAGATTACATGAGTATATTTTTAGTATTCCATTTTATTTTTACCATTGGAATAGTAGTGATAAAATTATGTTTCATTTTTTAAATAATTACTCTGAAATTTGAAATATATATCTTGAAATAATCATGGTGTATTTTTAAGTAACATTAAACAACTTTTCGTGTAGGGTTAAAAGTTACATCGACACACTTTTATTTCCTATTCCTCTCCTGTGTGCTTTTGAAATCATACATTCTACTTCTAAATATGCAATAAAATCTATAAAACAGTGTTGTTAATTGTGTTTTACATAATAATCATTATAAAATTATAAAAATAAAACTACTTAACATTTATGCATATATTTATTATTAGGGTTCTCTGATAAGTCCAAATTTTATCTGGTATCATTTCTTTAAGACTGAAGCACTTTATTTAGTATGTCTGGCTGTGTTGGTTCACTACTCATAGATTCTCTTAGCTTTAGTGTTTCTGAAAGAGTTTTGGCTTCGTGTTTATTTTCAAAGCATATTTTAATTGTTGTTTGAAAATGCACTTTGGAAATGTAATTTCACCCTTTTCTTATTTGAATAGTTTCTAATGAAACTGTGATATATTTATCTTTGCTTTCCTGTTTATAGTTTTTTTTTTTATTCTAGAGCTTTAAGATCTTCTCTTTATACTGTATTAGGCAACTGATTATGATTACCTGAAATTTGCTTAGTTTGATTTTCGTCCTCTTAAGTTTAATAGAACTCCTTGGATCTGTAAGTATGTGGTTTTTAACAATCATTTTGCCTTATTATATCATTTTTTCTGTTTCCCAACTCTCTTCCCTCTTGATGGTACCCCAGTAATACACGTTGTAATATTTGATATTTTCCTACAGATTACTAAGGATCTGATAAATTATTATTTAATGCTTTTGCTTGTTTTAAATTTTTTTGTCTTTTTTCCCTTGGTCCTTTACTGTGGATGGTGTCTATTGCTATGTCTTCAACTTCATTGATATTTTCTTTTCTGTTAGTTTCTAATCTGTTGGTAATCCATCCAATTACTTTTTAAATTTCAAGTACTTCATTTTTTAAAACTAGAGATTCTACTTTGTTTTCTTTATGCCTTTTAATTTATATTCTTCGTGTCTTTACATACTTCAATCTATTCATAATCTATTAATAATAAATATTCTAAAATTATTGTCTATTAAATCCTTTATCTCTGTCATCTATAGGTCTGCTTTTATTTACTGATTTTTTTGAGATGTAGATCACTTTTTCCTACTTTTTCACATGTTAAGCAATTTATTTTGATAATAAGTAGTTTGAATTGTATATGTTTATGCAAGATTTTGTTGTATTTCTTTATACTGTGTTGGCCTTTATTCTGGTGAGCAGGTATGTTACTTTTGTATCAGCTCAATCTTTTGGAAGTAGTTGTAAAATTTGCTTGAATGAATTTAATGATGTTATACTCAGGACCTAATTTATTCCTATTACTAAAGGATGTTCCTTTAGGGGTTCCTATTAGATGTGCTGGTAGTAACAAAGACTCAAGTTCAGATTGGTATGCCTTCATTTGTCCACAGCCTAGCAATCTCTTAGAACTGCTTGTCTTACAGATCCCTACTCATGTGTAGCTCAAAGCTCATCAACTCAGAGTTATAAACTCAAGGATATAACTTTATGCTATTATCAGCAACTTTTTCTATGGGTAGTTTCTTCTCTCGTACCCTGCAGCCTCCTCCTGTTCCTCCCTGCATTCCAGTCTCTGTCTTTTCAATTCAGGAATATTATTGCGCTCTCCTTGGTATTCCTCTGTCTGCACTGTGGTGTAGAAGGTAGGTGTCTCCAGGCAGAAGAATGCCTTATTTGTTTGCATTCTCTTGGAGTTGATCTTTGCCTTCTTCTTGTTATCATCCTGTATGTTCAAATCTTAATTTCTCTTTACCCAGATCCAGAATTGAGTGTTAATTTGTTTATGGGGGATTACATTTTTAAAAATTATTTCACCTATTTTAAAAATATCTTATGCTCATCTAATCAACCTGGTAAGTAAGTGACTGCCCCCTTCATGTTATAGAAGATATTGAAATGAAAATATCTCTGAGTTGCATAGCTAGATTTGAAAGATTCACATCTGTAAAACATGCTTTTTCACTACGAGTTTACTATTTTCCTGCTCTACCACGTCTCCTTTAATTATTTAGTTTTAAAGATAAAAACTGCAAGGCCAAGCTCCCCTATCTCAAACCTTCTTATTCTTACTGATGAGAGTCCTTGATGGTTTTGAGGAGAGCAGTTTAGTTCTGTTCAGACTCCCCACTTACTATCACCTCCAACTCCCCAAGGAACAGTGAGTTCATTAACTCTTTCTTCAGAGAGCTGGTCTGGTGCATGTTGACTGCCTTTGTACTTTTCTCCCGCAGTTTTTTTGTGAATGTCAAGGACCACTCCACAAGTACTTGAGGAGGCCTGCAGCAGAGATATCAACAGAGATAGATAGAAAATGTAAATTGAGCCAATGTCTTCTGCAATAACTTTATCAGAGAGGAAAATAAACTGTGTCAAATGTCTCCTCAGTAGAGTGTAGAGATTAATGCCTGTTCCTTCCAATGGGATCAGACCCATAAGCCAAAAAAGCTGAAAGTAATTATTATTTACTTTATAAAGGGAGAGAATAACTAATAACTGAATGCTTCCTATGTGCAGTTTTCCTTAAATATAGTGATTAATGTTTTAACCACATAAAGCAGGAATAATTTATCCTCATATTTTACTTGTAAAAAAACCTGATATTCAGAGACAAAAAAAAAATGGGTTTCTCAGTGTCACACAGCCAATAGATGTTGAAAGAGGTATAAATTGTTTACTGCTTGATTGAAAGGCCTGTTTTGGATTTTGCTAATACTTCTCAAATATCTCTGTACATATCTCCAGGGTGTTAATGTTACTGAAGTTTTTAGAAATTTTTGATTATATATAACTGAAAACAAATTTCACTAACCTCAGCAAATTATGGGGAAAAATATTAACGGTATATTAAAATAAGTCAAGGAAAAGCTATTAAGAACCAATCTCAGAAAGATCAGCTTTCTGGATGCCCCTGGAATCTGTGGAGCAGAAGCAGAAAGCAACAGGACCTTGCTGTTGGGTCACTGCTGTTGTACCTGAGCGAGTTAGAGAAAACGCCACACTTTGAGACGAATTAAGAGTCCGTTTATTTAGCCGGCGGCCAAGAAACGGCTAACGCTCAAAGTTCTCTCGGCCCCAAAGAAGGGGCTAGATTTTCTTTTATACTTTAGTTTAGAGAAGGGAAGGGGGGTCTAGTTAAAACAATTTTACAGAAGTAAAGTAGGCAAAAAAGTTAAAAGGATAAACGGTTACAGGAAAGTAAACAGTTCCAGGTGCAGGGGCTTTAAGACTATTACAAGGTGATAGACGCGGGGCTTTGGGTGTTATCAATTGGACGAATTCCTGAGAATTGCGGATTTTGCTCGCCACAGTATCTCATCAGTTAATTGCATTCTTGGATGTGCTGGGAGTCAGCTTGCACCAGTTAAGTCCTTGAGGAAGGGGCTGCCAGTGAAAGAGGCAAGATGGAGTCTGTCTGGCTCTCTTAGCTAAGGGAGAGTCAGTTCAGGTGGAAACAAGGCTAGGTGATTAAAGGAAAAGGGAGAGTCTAAAAACAGGGTTAGTAAAAACAAGGGTGGGCATTACACTGCTATTGAGGTACACTGGCCTCAGACATGTTTCTGTTTGTTTGTATTTATTAAAAGGTGTTCCAAGCTCATATCAAATTATCCAAAATAATAAAATAGGCATTCAAATGCTTACCATATATAATAAACTTTAATAGTTTGAGTTTCTTTACTTAAAATATATTTAAAACACAACTAAAGCCTCACCCTGTTGTCTTTCCTAAAGGAAATCTCTGCCCTGAAGTTGGTCTATAGCATCCTCATTCCTGTCTTGTATTTTATTATGTATCAATGTTGATAAGTATCAAATAAGGGCATGTATTTTATAAGATATATATAAATATTATCATACTGCTTATGTGCTTTTTCAACTAACTTTATCCATCTAATATTATTTTTAAATTTGTATCCAATTAGCAGGGTGTGGTTGCACCCACCTGTAGTCCCAGCTACTCGGGAGGCTGACGCAGGAGAATCACTTGAACCTGGGAGGCGGAGGTTGCAGTGAGCAGAGATCGCCCCACTGCACTCCACACTAGGCGACAGAGCAAGACTCCATCAGAAAAAAAATTGTATCCGTATATATTTTTCCTGATCTAGTTTAAGATTTTTAATATTTTTAATATTTCCATAGCATTTGACTGAATGAATCAACATATTTAGATTCTTCCCCATTGAAGAAAGAGATAACTCCTTTTACTATTGTTTTTGCTATAACAATGCTGCTTTGACTCTCTTTGTAGATAATTTCCTCTCTAGAAGAGAATTACCAAGCCATTGAGCACATCCACTTCAACTTTAACAGATTTTGCAAAAGTATACTTCAAAGTGGTTATGAAAACCAATACACTAATTGGCCATATAACTGAGTTCCTATTTCCCTATATTCTTAATAATACTTGGCAATTCAGGTCATTTCAGCAAATGTTTATTGTCCATATACTTCAAACCAAAAACTCTTTGAATTTTTTTTTTCAGCAATGATAGTGAACAAAAGAGATAAAAAATCCGTGCCCTTATGAAACTTATTCTTTGTATTGTAGAAACGTATTCTTGGTATTGTATGTGTATGCAGCAACTCATACAATAAGCAATATAAACAAATGTTTTGTGTTTTAGAAGTTCATAAGTGTTACAGAGAAAAATAAGAAAACACAAAGCAATAGGAAGTGCTAGAGGGATGGTGAGATTGCATGTTTAATTTAAGTACTAAGGGAAGTTCTCACTGAGAAAGCAACATTCAAGCAAAAACTTGTTGACTTCACAGAAATCTGGGAGCTCACCATTCATTTATCTAGCAGGACATGTCCTGGATCTAGGGAAGAACAAATTAGCTGAAGTGAAATTTTTCCTGGGTGTTTGTTTTTGAGACAGCAAAGATGCCCGTGAGGCTACAAGTGAGGCAAGGAGTAGTTAGAAAAGAGGAAAAGAATAACAGGGTGAAGGATTTCAGGTCTCGCTTACCATCTTAGGATTTTAGTTTTTACCAGGATGGAATGGGGATCCATTAATAATCCTTCAGGTTATTAAACATAGAAGTGATCTAATCTTACTTAAGATTTAAAAGGACACCTTTGGTTGCTATATTGAGAAGAGATTCTAGGAGGGAAAGGATGGGAGAAAAATATCAGTTAGAAGGGCAGGCAAGAGGAAACACAGTTGGGACCAGTATGGCAACAGTAAAGGTAATAATAAATAGTTGGGTACTAATGGACTTGTAAAATTTTCACCAGCTGATTGACATGAACTTACTTCTCATTTTATTAATTTGCATTTAACTAATTATGAGTAAAATTATTTTTTGTCTGGGACTTATTTTTATATTCTCTGAGATGTTCACACATGCTTCAAATGTAAGAACAGACTGTAACTGGTATAGCCTAGGTTACTTGTTTACCTTTCCTTGATGAGAATGGAACACCTCTTTGACCCTCCATAAATGGTGCAAGAGACAACTATTCCAAAAGGACACAGGAATGCTGTTAGTTGATATCTTTATGAAAATATAAAAGAACAATAGGCTATGAGGCAAGAAGAACATACCTCCTTTTCAATACCAGAGATGGGGAGCATGTGGCTACCTTTAGCGTTAAGGGAACCCTTGATTGTAGCTGCGTATATTTCCACTGCACAAAATGATGGTTTGTTAATGAAGAAGAAGAGGGTTATTGGAGCCAAAACAGGGTTATTGAAGCCCCACTGATCTTGGGCTACATGACTGTTTTTCTCAATAAAGTATGATCAAAACTGAAATATAGTTAGCGTAGGTAGAATCCTTAATAAACGTGTGCTTTGTCATTCTCTCTTTCCCTGTGACATGACAACTACCAATATTTTAAATTACACTTCCCTGTCAGCCTTGGTTGTGGTATGAGGGTGCTGCTGGCCTGAACAGAGCCCCAGTGGATACCAAGCAGTAGCAAGAAGTAAATGGTTATTGTTTTATGACCCTGAGATTTGGTAGTTGTTTACTGGTCCAGGATCATGAAGCCACTAGAGACTTCTACAGGGAAAGAGGGTTTTTTTAATGTGGAAAATTACATCCTCTGCCACAGGTAAGCACTATAGGATTGCTCAATTTTATGGATGAGGAAACTTAGCTCAGGGAGGTTAAATAATCTGCCCAATAGTAGATAGCTAATTAATGATGGAGGAATTTCCTCCCAAAACAATATTTATAAAACTATGCCTACTGAGTATGTTAGAAACTACTTTTAATGCCATGAATGGTCTGAAATGCTAAGTACTAAAATAATTTTCATATTAAAAACTACCCTTCCATATGTGATATTTCCCTAGACTACCCTATAGCATCAAACACTAAGAGGCCCTATTTTTAATGCAAACTGAATCTCTTGGAATGTTATCTGGTACACTTCATTTAACAGCAATTAAATTTTTCATAGGTTTGTATTAAATAATGTATTAATGAACAGGGTTATAAATGTTCTGTCATTATGATCTGCAATTAAAATGTCCCACAAAGTCTTGTGCTAATGATAATAAGTAAATTACTGACACCTTTAGTATCACTGTGGAGTTCATATACTTAAAGCTGGTATAGAAACACAGGTTGGTCAATATCAACTTCAGCTGTCATAAGATTCAAAACACCTTATGAATAAGCATTGTTCAACTCATTTTAAAATATATATTTCAAACACATATTCAAAATAGAATCTATTTTCAAAGGCACCAGTAAAATGTGCAAGCATATAAACAGAGGCTAAACATAATTTTCCTTACTTGATCTGCACCTGCAGCGTTTATTAGATTGGGTTATGACAGTGAAAACACAGTGGCCACTTTGGAATCTTTATTCAATCAATGATGAATCAATGGCCCTAAAGTATTACCTTGATACAGCTAACCTGTCATTAAGATTCGTATGTCTTTAGCAGTAATATTTATATCTAAAATTTGTATTTTATTATTATTATTGTTATTTTTTGATATGGAGTTTCTCTCTTGTTGCCCAGGCTGGAGTGCAGTGGCGTGATCTCATCTCACTGCAACCTCCGCCTCCTGTGTTCAAGCGATTCTCCTGCCTCAGCCTCCTGAGTAGCTGGTATTACAGGCATGCACCATCACGACCAGCTAATTTTGTGTTTTCAGTAGAAACGGGGTTTCTCCATGTTGGTCAGGCTGGTCTCAGACTCCCAATATCAGGTGATCCGCCTGCCTCGGCCTCCCAAAGTGCTGGGATTAGAGGCATGAGCCACTGGGCTTGGCATTTTTTTACTTTTAAAGACGCTTTTATTTCAGCTCTCAACATTATAGTATACACAAGCTTAATACCATCTTAGACATTGGAAAATTGAGGCTTAGAAATAACCAAACACCGCATATTCTCACTCATAGGTGGGAATTGAACAATGAGATCACATGGACACAGGAAGGGGAATATCACACTCTGGGGACTGTGGTGGGGTTGGGGGAGGGGGGAGGGATAGCATTGGGAGATATACCTAATGCTAGATGACGAGTTAGTGGGTGCAGCGCACCAGCATGGCACATGTATATGTATGTAACTAACCTGCACAATGTGCACATGTACCCTAAAACTTAAAGTATAATATAAAAAAAAGAAATATTAAATTCAGAAATGCACAGTAGACCTGATTCACAGAAAGTTTTTTTTTTACTCTAAGTGCATAATTCTTGCCGTTGCATGTCAGAATGAAAGTACCTGCCACAGACTTTCAAAGGATGAAGTACTAAGTCAAACTTACATTAAAAATGGGAGCATCTCTGAGAGCGCCAGGTAAAAACTATGTGGCCATTTATGACCTTTACCACTACTTTTACCGAGAAACCTCCACTGACTGAAATATATATAAAACCTGCCATGAAAATATTTAAGCTAATTTGGGTGTGGACTCTTTATTGGAGATGGAACTTGAATCCTGAAAGAGAAGATTTGGGGTACAGATCAAGAAATAAGAATATTTAAAATGGTTTCACAGATGCTCCAGTTATCTATTGTACAGCAAAACAGCACATACCATCATGGCTTAAAACAACAGCAATCTCCTGTTTGCTCATTGGTCTACAGTTTGGCAAGAGCTCTTTGGAGATGGCTCCTTTTCGCTCCATGTGACATTACCTTGGGTGTCTCGAAAGATGGGTTTGGGATTCTCCTAGAGATGGCACATTCTCACGTATGTTGATTGATGCTGGCTACTGGGTTGGACTTTAATTACAATGTCAACTAGAACACCTACAAATTCCCTATCCTTTGCTTTCTCAAAGCAAAATGGCTAGGTTTTGAGAAGCAAGCGTCCCAAGGAATGATGGTGAAAGCTGTGTGGCCTTTTAAGACCTTTGAAGACTTTGAAAATCTATCATCCAAGGGATACAATTTCACTCCCACCATCTTCTGTTTGTCAGTCTCTATTCGTGAGCCTCTAAGTCTTGCCCGTATTCCCAAGGATGATAATTTGACCCACCTTTGATGTCAGGAATATAATATATTGGCAGACATATTTTGAAATCATCAGAAGCTTTTTAACTAACCAATTTTGAAATATCATTAAGACAAAATGATGGGAGAAAATGATGTATAGAAACAGTGTACTTTTGTATAATCTATATGAAAATAGGAGAAAAGACTATACAAGTATATTCACTTATTTTCCCCAACACATAACTTAAAGCTCAGTAAATATTTCTTCATTGAATGAATACTGAATAAGCGTAAATTAGACTCTTTCCTATTATTTATCCGGTGGGCATATCAAAGAACAAATAGGGAATCTATAGCGAACATTATTTTACTCATGGTATCTCAGAGAGATGGATACCGGAATGTAGGCTTTTTTAGGAGGGATACTTTTTAGAGAGGTTTTTGGGGAGGTTATTGAATACATATATGTAGGGATGTCTTTAGTCCCCAGAGTTCTACAGTGGTGTCAGGTTCTTAAAAGAAGGGAGAGAAAGAAATTTTTATTTTTTTTTGAGACGGAGTCTCTCTCTGTCGCCAGGCTGGAGTGAGGTGGCACAATCTTGGCTCACTGCAACCTCTGACTCCCTGGTTCAAGTGATTCTCCTGTCTCAGCTTCCTGAGTAGCTGGGATTACAAGCATCCGCCACCATGCTCGGCTAATTTTTGTTATTTTTTGAAGAGATGGGGTTTCACCATATTGGCCAGGATGGTCGTGATCTCCTGATCTTGTGATCCACCCTCCTCGGCCTCCCAAAGTGCTGAGATTACAGGCGTGAGCCACTGTGCCCCCCAGCAAGAGAAAGAAACCTTGAGGAATGGGTGAATAATAAGCAGAGAGAAGGGTGGTAGAATGTGTTGAATTCTATCAATCTTTCGGGCAAAGATTGATCACCCCGAACTTCATGACCCACAAGAGAGGAAAGACATATGGGTATTTCTTTTTTGATAAATAAAAATAAACTCAATCAGTAAATTTAAGAAAATCTTGATCACACCATGGAATGGTTTGCATTTATTTCAGCACAAGATCAAGGCTGGCAAAGAGCAGAGCATGTGGAGACTTGTACCAGAGAAAGGTAAAAATAAAAATAAAATAAAAATAAAATAAAAATACCTAAAATGTGTTGTGTGAAAACTATTCCTGGTGACCATGGCAATTGTGCCCCAACTTAAGGTAATGTAATTACCATGAGCTTGTGGAACTTAACACTTATGTACACCCATGTGTTAGACATAGTGCTAATATTTAATAAATCTAAATTCCCATAAACCTTGTAACTGTATTAGTCCGTTCTCACACTGCTATAAAGAACTGCTCAAGACTGGGTAATTTAGAAAGGAAAGAGGTTTAATTGACTCACAATTTTACAGGGCTGGGGAAGCCTCAGGAAACTTACAATTATGTTGGAAGTCTAAGGGGAAGCAAGGCACCTTCTTTACAAGGCGGTAATGGGTAGAATGAACGCAGGAGAATGAACTCACTCAAAATACTTGTTGGCTCCTTGTTAAGATTCTATGTACATATCCTTCGCCCACTTTTTCATGGGGTTGTTTGATTTTTTCTTGTAAATTTGTTTAAGTTCTTTGTAGATTCTGGATATTAGCATGTTCTCACTCATAGGTGGGAATTGAACAATGAGAACACTTGGACACAGGGTGGGGAACGTCACACACCAGGGCCTGTTGTGGGGTTGGGGGGAGGGGGGAGGGATAGCATTAGGAGATATACCTAATGTAAATGACTAGTTAATGGGTGCAGCACACCAGCATGGCACATGTATACATACGTAACAAACCTGCACATTGTGCACATGTGCCTTAGAACTTAAAGTGTGTATATTAAAAAAGATTCTATGTAAAACACTCTCCTTTTCAGTTTCCACGGTTCTCACTATCATAAGAACAGCATGGGGGCAACTGTCCTCATGATTCAATTACCTCCGCTTGGTGTCTCCTTTGAAATGTGGGGATTATGAGAATTACAATTCAAGATGAGATTTTGGGTGGGGCACAGCCAAACCATATAAATAACATTATGAGAAAGGTACTATTATTATCACTTCCATTTTACAGATAAGTAAACTGAGGCACAGACAGCATGCGCCAAAGCAGAGATTCAATCCCAGAGTCCATTGTCACTCTAGGTACAACCTTAAAGCCACGATTTGACCACTAGGCCATGCGCCCTCTTACAAATGAAATTTGTACAAGGCTTTCTTTGAATTAATTTAAACCCCAAACTTATGGAAGAATAATAAAACACAGTGGTAATAATATTGGCAGCTTCTGAACTCATACATCTTCTTCTAGAAGAGATACATTCAAGCCAATAGACAACTCAAGTGAGCTGTAAATGATTATCTAATAAATTAGACAGTTTTTAGTAGAGTCCATATTTTAATAAAATTCCAACCGTATTGATTCGCTTTTTTGTGTGTGTGACTACCTCTCTCTGTGGGAAAAAATGGAATGAGAAATCTGCAAGTATTCAATTTTAAACATCCGTCTTCACACTCAGGGCTCTGAAAACTGGAATCACTCTGTCTCAATCCAGCTGGTAGGTTTATCACACCCTAGTGAGGGAAGTGATTGTCAATTTGTCTTTCTTTTTGCCTTTATTGTAGGGAAGTTTTTTTTTTTTTCTTTCAAAGTGATTCATAGGGCTTTGTAATTAGGCAGGCTGATTAGAATATCTCTAGTCGCATGCAGACGATTGCCTTCTGAGAGATGAGTGAAGGTGGTATCTGCTTTGTCTCAGGAGATACCCTGTTGGTAACCCCCCCACAGGGCTTTGTTAGTGAATGCTTCCTTTTAGAAATGGACCCCCACTTCCCTTTGAATTTGGTCTTTCCTCAAGCCAGAACAAACCCACCTAGTCACTCAGCATGACAGTTACTAGATATAAGGAAGAAAACGGCAGGAGTTGAAGGAATCCATTCCAAGATAAATAATTCTAACACACTGCTGACTTACAATAAGGATTAACTGTTCTAGCACTCATCTAGGGAAATATCTACCTATTGGGAAGCCGCTCCTTTCCAATATATTAAGGATTAATTGCTTGCTTTATGGTTGTTATTAGCTAGGCTAAATATTCCACTTACACTACAGAGGTCCCCAGACACACTGAAAATAGGGAATAGAATACAGTGGAATGGACTGATTACAAAGTTTTTGGCTCCTTGTTAAGATTCTATGTAAAACACTCTCTTTTTCCGTTTCCATGGTTCTTGTCCATTTTATTTGTTTTTTCCTACATATCTTCCTATCAATAATTCTTCTGTGTCTTCCTCTTCTACCTCAACCTTATATATAGTACTGTTGGGTTCTCTTGTGTCTCTTTTTGTTTAATCTCTGGATCTCCTTGAGTTTAATTTGTGGATCTTTTGAATCTCCTCCTCCAATAATTCTAACTACATCCTATATAATCATTACTCCCAAATCCTCATCTCTAGTATAGATCCTTTGTCTGACATTGTATTGGGATGAGCTACCAGCTCCTTCAGATAACAACAACAACATTAGCCATGTTGTCATAGTGTAATGGTGACCGTTGGCATGCTGTTCTAGAAGCTGTCGTTCACTGAGTACTAATTACATGCCTAGCACACTGTTATACACTTTAAGTGCATTTAATGAGGCTTTACAGGTTAAATAATTGGTAACAAGTTAATGGCTGAGCATGAACTTGAATCCATGTTTATTTGACACAAAGTCTTGTAAAGACTTTGGACGACTCAGTGAAACGATTGGTGATCATGAATTATTGACTGCCAGAATAAGTCTGTTTATCCGCCTTGAGATTCTCAAGTTTTCTTTACTCAAATGCACTGTTATCCTCTCCTAGATCCCTCAGACTGTTAAAAGATTAGATTCAGATCCTAATGTCCAAGATGTCTCCCACCCCAGACCAAGTAGTGTTATTATCTTTATGTGTTTATTCACAGCAAAGACAATAATTTTAAACACTCTATTTAAACCAAAGGGTTTGTTCTTTTTAAACACAATGCTAGTTACAATGACAGTAAATCCACACACCCATGAAAATGAAGTCCTGCTATTGCTCCACGAGTTTGTCGTCCAACACTTGTCACCTTAAATATAGTCAAGCGAGTGAACTCAAGGCTCATGGCCCAGGAGCAATGTTATGTACATATTTATGGTGCCTGGCCCCAGAAACTCTGACAGAAGATTTAGATCTGTTCTGTGGTTTCTATGTGTATTAGAGCATTCTTGTATTACTATAAAGAAATACCCAAGACTAGGTAACTTATAAAGAAAAGAAGTTTAATTGACTCATGGTTCTGCAGGCTATACAGGAAGCATGGTATTGGCATCTCCCCAGCTTCTGTTGAGGCCTTGGCAAGCTTACAATCATGGTGGAAGGTGAAGCATGAGCCAGCACTATACATGGTGGGAGCAGGAGCAAGAGGTGGCAGTGTAGGGGTGGTGGGGAGGTGCCACACTTTACAACAACCAGATCTCGTGAGAACTCAGTCACTATCACAAGGATAGCACCAAGTCATAAGGGATCTGCACCCATGACCCAAATACCTCGCACCACCTCCAACATTGGGAACTACATACATTTCAACATGACATTTGGGCATGGACAAATATCTAAAGCATATCTTCATAGAACTTGTGAACTGTCACACAAATGTCATTTGCTCACTTACCTATCAGAATGTCCATATATTCTGGACAGAATGTCAAATCCTCTACAAATCACTTGTTAGCAAAGATGGATTGTAAAAAAAAAATTTTGGTGGAAGTTTAGAAATGAAGAGTATCTGAAGTTGTCTTTTTCAACTAACCATGGGCCTAACAAATGACAATTTAAAGTATCTTCCAAATAACGTATAAGTATAGGGGAAAACCCTTCTTTCGTTGTTGTTGTGGTTGAGACATCTCAGCAGTGACTGGTTTTTTGTCACAAAGGGTCATGCTCATGGGCACATAGTGTGGGATCCTGAAATCATCCTGCCCTAAGAATCAAGTCTAGCAGATACTAAGATTTTGAATGAACTTACAGGAGTAATAAGCACCTGAAATAGGCATCAATCACTAAGAAATTTAATTACCTTTCTATTATACCTCCATTTACCATAAACATGATTTTTGTATTGATCGAATTTTGCTAATATTGAGTGTTTGTCTAATTTATGAGAATATGTTATTGGAAAGAAAGAATGAGTAATATTCAACTTTGCAATATCATAATATGATGGAATGTCTGTGTAATTGCTAATGTATTTCCTCAAAACATAGTAGCTAAAAGCAATGACAGCATTTATTTTACTGTGAGATGTGCAAGTTGGATAGAGGTAGGTGGATATAGCTTATCTCTGCCTCAATATCATCTAGAGTGGCATTATGTGAAGGATCACTTACAAGCCTGCAAGTTGATGCTATTAGTTGAGAGCTGAGATGGAACCATTGGTTAGAATATCCACACGTGGCCTCTTCATATGGATGGGGCTTGCTCACAACATGGCAACTGCTTTCAATGGCTGTTACCCTGAGAGAAAACTGGTCAAGCACAAACTCGATCACGTTTATAGCCTAATCTTAAATGTGACCAAAAGTCATTCACCTCACATAATATTCATTAGAACCTGGATGCAAAGGCTGGCTCATGCTCATATTCAAGGGGAGGTAAAGGAGATCTTACTGATTAATGGAGAAGTGTCAACATCCCATTGCAGGAATAAAAGGAGTGATGAGATTTAGTGGTGGAATTGCTTTTGGAAAATGCAATCTGCTGCACAATGTCTGGTATACACATTTTTTAAAATATAAAGGTTATATTAGAAAAAAAATAAAGGAAGGAAGAAAGAAAAGGAGAATAGGATGCAGAATAAAACTATTTACAGTTTACATCTGGTCATCACCTCCCACTACCTTAATTTCTCTTCCAAATGACTAGGTCTTATATATTTTTGTGCCTCCTAAGTATTTACTACATCTTTGCCCCAGACACAGACACCCTCTTAATTATTAAATTGTGTTTGAACAATCCCAATAGTAGTCTCTTTGTATTCCTTGCTTCCAGGTTTTTAGTCATAATTTCCTCCTAAGCATGATCTATAATATCTATAGGGTATTTTTCTAATATAGAAAAGATCATGTCAAATGCTTAAATTTTCTTCAATCTTCCCTCACTACTAATACAACTAATGCCCAAACATATACAGACTATGATAAACTGATGTATGCTTCACAGAATCCCTTTCTTCTCTTGTAATCTGTTATTGACTTTGGGTTTATGCCAAATCTACTTTAATTACATTTGAGGATCAAGTGGAAGGGGGTTAGCAGTGGGAGGCATTGCCCAAATCTACCTTTTCCTGTAGTGGAAAGACTCCATTTCATTCTTAGAGAATGATCTTTTTCACAAGCACCATCCCCTGCATGTTGTTTTTTTGCTTTGCTTTCACTATTTATTTAATTTTTCTTTCTTTCACTGTCAAAAGTTTCACCATATGAAGGTGCCAATGGCTTTTCCCCTTTAGGAAACAAGGCATCAGCAAAGCAGACATCTGCATCCCAGTGTGGAGTGGTAGAATTTGTTTGAAGTGCCACTCACTGGGCTCTGTGCATTGCAAATCCTAGTCATTGAAACAGGGCTTGGATTGCTTCCTTGACCTCTTCTTCAAATAAGATTGCCCCTTCCAGCATTTCAACAGCACTTACTAGGCTTGCCCAGCCTTGACTCTGAGGAAGCAGTACCTGCGGATAAAGCATTTATGGGTTCTGAGGGAGGCCATCACCCACTCAATGGGAGCAGTTTTTATGGGGCTGCATTTCTCCCTATACTATGTGCTTGTTCATTTTGCTGTTGCCAGAGGAATGAAAGCATTTATAAAATTGAAAATATCTAAGAAATAGTTTTGGAGGAAGAACTCTCTCTTCTCCTCCCCTTCCCTCCTCTCCCTTCCTCCCCTTCCCTCCCCTCCCCCTTCTCCTCCTAATTCTTCCCCTTTCTCTCCCTCCCTCCCATTCTCTCTCTCTCACTGTATCAAAGTGCCCTAAGAAAAGATTAAATGCAACATCTAGTTACTCAATATGAGTTTGCAAAATCACTTTTCTGGAAATATTTTGTCTTAAACACAATTTTTCCCATGTGTATTTGGCCTAAAACCCAGGTCATTCTAATTGTTACAGGAAAGGGGTCCAGATCCAGATCCCAAGAGAGGGTTCTTGGATCTCCTGCAAGAAAGAATTCAGGGTGAGTCCACAGTGCAAACTGAAAGCAAGTTTATTAAGAAAGTAAAAGATAAGAGAATGGCTTATTAAGAAAGTAAAAGAATAAGAGAAGTCTGCTGGTTGACCATTTTTTTATGGTTATTTCTTGATGATATGCTAAGGGATGGATTATTCATGCCTCCTTTTTTTATACCATATAGGGTAACTTCCTGATGTTGCCATGGTATTTGTAAACTGCCATGGCACTGGTGGGTGTGTAGCAGTGAGGATGACCAGACGTCAAACTCATCGCCATTTCGTTTTTCATGAGTTTGGGCCAGGTCCTTTACTGAAATCTGTTTTATCAGCAAGGTCTTTATGACCTGTATTTTGTGCCAACCTCCTATCTTATCCTGTAACTTAGAATGCCTTAACCATCTGGGAATGCAGTCCAGTAGGTTTCAGCCTCATTTTACCCAGCTCCTGTTTAATTAAGATGGAGTTGCTTTGGTTCACATGTCTCTGACATAATGATAAAGACAATTGATGAGACTTATTTTTTTTCTGTGTCAGGAAACACTAAACACGTATTCAAATGAAGAACCCTCACAGTCATTTTAGAATCCTAGAAGATCGAAGGTAGAGGATGTCTGAGTGTCTGAGATTATTTAGGTAATGTTAGTTGATTCTGAAAATGAATATAAGTGGGTATGAGACTATGTGGACATACAAATTCTCAGCAAACGGTAGGTGCTCAATGAATGCAGAATGGGTAAGTAAATGAGTGAGTGAACCACGAATGGAGAAATTTTAGATGCAGGATATCTGAGAATTCCAGAAATCTGGATTTCAAATTTGAGGATTTTGCTGGGCCCTTTTGGAATGACGTAATAGCTAACTTTTACTGAGCTGCTTGCCATATGCCCGTTGTGGTTCTAAGTGTGTACAATTCATCTAGTCTCCACAACAGTGCTATCGGCATAATACAAATATTGGCCTCACTTCTATAGGTCAGGAAAGTGAAGTTCAGATAGCCTCAGTAACTTGCCAAAGGCTACACGGCAGGTAAATTTAGATCTGGAAGCAATTCCAGCTGTGTGACTCCAATGTCTGTCTTTCTATCTGTGGCATTAAAATACAAGACCTGACTTTTTGTGTGTCAAAATTGCTCACATTTTGGTAGAGGAAACATACAAACAATATAGAAATCAAGTGCTATAAAAAGTAGGTATATCATGGAGTGTAATAAGTGTAATTTGTGTCTTCTCATTTTAGGCATAAGTGGTTTAGAAGATAAAAAGGTGAACCAATATAGCTGCTTTTAATCTACTAATTTAATATTGGAAAATATGCGCTGAAATTCTTCTTACTTATTCTGGGGCTTGATCTAGTTATATTTTTCCTTGCACACACCTTTCTGCAATCATCTTAGCACTTCTTTGTTATACCTAAAAATATGTCATAAATATTTCAAACACCTGATTCAAACCAATTTTCTCATGAAAACCTGTACATAGAGAAAGTTGCTGTGATAAGGGTTTCCTTTTTCATAGATTGTGCGTGTGGGGCTTAATATAAATGTACTAGCTATTTACCAGGTGGTGACTATGTAGTAAGCGGTTCGCCCATATTTTCCATTTTGACAATTACAATATTATGAGGGAGGTAATTTGATCTGTTTTTAACTAAAGACATCAGAGACGTAGAAATGTTGAGTGATGTACCTAAAGGAGGTAGAAAGTCCAGAACTTTAATCCAAGTCTCTGATCCCTAATCCAGGTTTTTTTTTTCCTACTACAAGATGCTGCCTCCTTTAAAAAAAAAGTGCCTGAGATATTTGTTGTATGTTCAAACTATATTGCCTTCTTATGCCTTTATCTACTGACTTCAAAATATATTGATACAGAGTAAATAATAAAATCAGCTTTAGGATCCCAACACATTTAAAAGAGATAAGACCTCATATAATCAGATCAAGGCAGATATAGGCAAAGTTTGAATTTTTAAATCATATTTAGTTCTCTAAAAGTCATAGTAAAAAGAAAAATTAATCCGCTTATGTTCACTGGGCTGTCAGAGTGCTTTAAGTATCATTATCTTCCCTAATAGAACAGGTCTATGGTGGAGAGCTAACTTTATTTCAATCCTTCAACTTATCACTTGCTCTCCTTGGCACCACTGAAAATATGTCATCTAGTATTTAAATATGTGGATTTTTATTCTAACTTCATAGATGAGAAAGTTGAAATGCAAAAGACGAGGTCACTTTCCAAGGTTATACAATTTTGAAGTAAAAAATCTGGCTATCAAAACCAGATCCACCTAACCCCAGGTCAATGTTTATGAAACTGTGAAAAATATCTCTGCATGGAGGAGACTAGAATTGTCAAATTTGTCTGAGAGTTTGGAATGTCAGTAACAGTTTTGTGCTTTTCTTCTAAAAATCCTAAATTCCTATTGTGTATGTGTCTATGTGTAGGCTACGGCAACATAACCCTTAGGAGACATATATGAATAAAAGGAGGGCAGCCATCTGTTGCTTATCCTTTTCAAAGTTTTATTTATTTACTTAAAACTTTTACATGTCCCCCAAATATTCCTATGTTGAAATCCTAACCCCAAGTACTTCACAATGTGATTTTATTTGGAGAGGGTCTTTATAAAGGTAATCAAATTAAATTAGGTTATTAGGGGGCATTCTAATATGATATGACTGGTGCTGTAAATAGGGGAAATTTGAAAATAGAAATGCACACAGGTAGAACGCCATGTGACCATGAAGGCCGTTATTGGGCTGATGTTTCAACAAGTCACATAGTGCCAAAGAGTGCCAGCAAATTGCCAGATGGTGGGGGCATGGCACGGGGCAAATTCTCCCTCACCTCCCTCCTAAGGAACCAACACGGCTCACCCCTTGATCTCACAGACTTCTGGCTTCCAGAACTGTGAGGGAGTAAATTTCTGTGTCTTAAGCCACTTAGTTTGTGGTACTTTTTTATCATAGTCTTACAAAAGCAATACAGATGCTGTGCATTAAGATTCAAAATATACTGGATTTTCTTTTTTTTTTTTTTAATTATTATTATACTTTAAGTTTTAGGGTACATGTGCACAATGTGCAGTTTAGTTACATATGTATACATGTGCCATGCTGGTGTGCTGCACCCACTAACTCGTCATCTAGCATTAGGTATATCTCCCAATGCTATCCCTCCCCTCTCCCCCCACCCCACAACAGTCTCCAGAGTGTGATGTTCCCCTTCCTGTGTCCATATGTTCTCATTGTTCAATTCCCACCTATGAGTGAGAATATGCGGTGTTTGGTTTTTTGTTCTTGCGATAGTTTTCTGAGAATGATGATTTCCAATTACATCCATGTCCCTACAAAGGACATGAACTCATCATTTTTTATGGCTGCATAGTATTCCATGGTGTATATGTGCCACATTTTCTTAATCCAGTTTATCATTGTTGGACATGTGGGTTGGTTCCAAGTCTTTACTATTGTGAATAGTGTCGCAATAAACATACGTGTGCATGTGTCTTTATAGCAGCATGATTTATAGTCCTTTGGGTATATACCCAGTAATGGGATGGCTGGGTCAAATGGTATTTCTAGTTCTAGATCCCTGAGGAATCGCCACACTGACTTCCACAATGGTTGAACTAGTTTACAGTCCCACCAACAGTGTAAAAGTGTTCCTATTTCTCCACATCCTCTCCAGCACCTGTTGTTTCCTGACTTTTTAATGATTGCCATTCTAACTGGTGTGAGATGATATCTCACTGTGGTTTTGATTTGCATTTCTCTGATGGCCAGTGATGGTGAGCATTTTTTCACCTGTTTTTTGGCTGCGTAAATGTCTTATTTTGAGAAGTGCCTGTTCATGTCCTTTGCCCACTTTTTGATGGGGTTGTTTTTTTCTTGTAAATTTGTTGGAGTTCATTGTAGATTCTGGATATTGGCCCTTTGTCAGATGAGTAGGTTGCGAAAATTTTCTCCCATTTTGTGGGTTGCCTGTTCACTCTGATGGTAGTTTCTTTTGCTGTGCAGAAGTTCTTTAGTTTAATTAGATCCCATTTGTCAATTTTGGCTTTTGTTGCCATTGCTTTTGGTGTTTTAGACATGAAGTCCTTGCCCGTGCCTATGTCCTGAATGGTAATGCCTAGGTTTTCTTCTAGGGTTTTTATGGTTTTAGGTGGAACGTTTAAGTCTTTAATCCATCTTGAATTGATTTTTGTATAAGGTGTATAAGGAAGGGATCCAGTTTCAGCTTTTTACATATGGCCAGCCAGTTTTTCCAGCACCATTTCTTAAATAGGGAATCCTTTCCCCATTGCTTGTTTTTCTCAGGTTTGTCAAAGATCAGATAGTTGTAGATATGCAGCATTATTTCTGAGGGCTCTATTATGTTCCATTGATCTATATCTCTGTTTTGGTACCAGTACCATGCTGTTTTGGTTACTGTAGCCTTGTAGTATAGTTTGAAGTCAGGTAGTGTGATGCCTCCAGCTTTGTTATTTTGGCTTAGGATTGACTTGGCGATGCGGGCTCTTTTTTGGTTCCATATGAACTTTAAAGTAGTTTTTTTCCAATTCTGTGAAGAAAGTCATTGGTAGCTTGATGGGGATGGCATTGAATGTATAAATTACCTTGGGCAGTATGGCCATTTTCACAATATTGATTCTTCCTCCCCATGAGCATGGGAATGTTCTTCCATTTGTTTGTATCCTCTTTTATTTCATTGAGCAGTGGTTTGTAGTTCTCCTTGAAGAGGTCGTTCGCGTCCCTTGTAAGGTGGATTCCTAAGTATTTTATTCTCTTTGAAGCAATTGTGAATGGGAGTTCACTCATGATTTGGCTCTCTGTTTGTCTGTTATTGGTGTATAAGAATGCTTGTGATTTTTGTACCTTGATTTTGTATCCTGAGACTTGGCTGAAGTTGCTTATCAGCTTAAGGAGATTTTGGGCTGAGACAATGGGGTTTTCTAGATATACAATCTTGTCTTCTGCAAACAGGGACAATTTGACTTCCTCTTTTCCTAATTGAATACCCTTTTGTTCCTTCTCCTGCCTAATTGCCCTGGCCAGAACTTCCAACACTATGTTGAATAGGAGTGGTGAGAGAGGGCATCCCTGTCTTGTGCCAGTTTTCAAAGGGAATGCTTCCAGTTTTTGCCCATTCAGTATGATAGTGGCTGTGGGTTTGTCATAAATAGCTCTTATTATTTTGAGATACGTCCCATCAATGCCTAATTTATTGAGAGTTTTTAGCATGAAGCGTTGTTGAATTTTTTCAAAGGACTTTTCTGCATCTATTGAGATAATCATGTGGTTTTTGTCTTTGGTTCTGTTTATATGCTGGATTACATTTATTGATTTGCGTATATTGAACCAGTCTTGCATCCCAGGGATAAAGCCCACTTGATCATGGTGGATAAGCTTTTTGATGTGCTGCTGGATTCGGTTTGCCAGTATTTTATTGAGGATTTTTGCATCAATATTCATCAAGGATATTGGTCTAAAATTCTCTTTTTTGGTTGTGTCTCTGCCTGGCTTTGGTATCAGGATGATCCTGGCCTCATAAAATGAGTTAGGGAGGGTTCCCTCTTTTTCTTTGATTGGAATAGTTTCAGAAGGAATGGTACCAGTTCCTCCTTGTACCTCTGGTAGAATTCGGCTGTGAATCCATCTGGTCCTGGACTCTTTTTGGTTGGTAAGCTATTGATTATTGCCACAATTTCAGCTCCTGTTATTGGTCTATTCAGAGATTCAACTTCTTCCTGGTTTAGTCTTGGGAGGGTGTATGTGTCGAGGAATTTATCCATTTCTTCTAGATTTTCTAGTTTATTTGCGTAGAGGCGTTTGTAGTATTCTCTGATGGTAGTTTGTATTTCTGTGGGATCAGTGGTGATATCCCCTTTATCATTTTTTATTGCGTCTATTTGATTCTTCTCTCTTTTTTTCTTTATTAGTCTTGCTAGTGGTCTATCAATTCTGTTGATCCTTTCAAAAAACCAGCTCCTGGGTTCATTGATTTTTTGAAGGGTTATTTTGTGTCTCTATTTCCTTCAGTTCTACTCTGATTTTAGTTATTTCTTGCCTTCTGCTAGCTTTTGAATGTGTTTGCTCTTGCTTTTCTAGTTCTTTTAATTGTGATGTTAGGGTGTCAATTTTGGATCTTTCCTGCTTTCTCTTGTGGGCATTTAGTGCTATAAATTTCCCTCTACACACTGCTTTGAATGTGTCCCAGAGATTCTGGTATGTTGTGTCTTTGTTCTCGTTGGTTTCAAAGAACATCTTTATTCCTGCCTTCATTTCGTTATGTACCCAGTAGTCATTCAGGAGCAGGTCGTTCAGTTTCCATGTAGTTGAGCGGTTTTGAGTGAGTTTCTTAATCCTGAGTTCTAGTTGGATTGCACTGTGGTCTGAGAGATAGTTTGTTATAATTTCTGTTCTTTTACGTTTGCTGAGGAGAGCTTTACTTCCAACTATGTGGTAAATTTTGGAATAGGTGTGGTGTGGTGCTGAAAAAAATGTATATTCTGTTGATGTGGGGTGGAGAGTTCTGTAGATGTCTATTAGGTCCGCTTGGTGCAGAGCTGAGTTCAATTCCTGAGTATCCTTGTTGACTTTCTGTCTCGTTGATCTGTCTAATGTTGACAGTGGGGTATTAAAGTCTCCCATTATTAATGTGTGGGAGTCTAAGTCTCTTTGTAGGTCACTCAGGACTTGCTTTATGAATCTGGGTGCTCCTGTATTAGGTGCATATATATTTAGGATAGTTAGCTCTTCTTGTTGAATAGATCACTTTACCATTATGTAATGGCCTTCTTTGTCTCTTTTGATCTTTGTTGGTTTAAAGTCTGTTTTATCAGAGACTAGGATTGCAACCCCTGCCTTTTTTTGTTTTCCATTTGCTTGGTAGATCTTCCTCCATCCTTTTATTTTGATCCTATCTGTGTCTCTGCATGTGAGATGGGTTTCCTGAATACAACACACTGATGGGTCTTGACTCTTTATCCAATTTGCCAGTCTGTCTTTTAATTGGAGCATTTAGTCCATTTACATTTAAAGTTAATATTGTTATGTGTGAATTTGAGCCTGTCATTATGATGTTAGCTGGTTATTTTGCTCGTTAGTTGATGCAGTTTCTTCCTAGTCTTGATGGTCTTTACATTTTGGCATGATTTTGCAGCGGCTAGTACTGGTTGTTCCTTTCCATGTTTAGTGCTTCCTTCAGGAGCTCTTTTAGGGCAGGCCTGGTGGTGACAGAATCTCTCAACATTTGCTTGTCTGTAAAGTATTTTATTTCTCCTTCACTTATGAAGCTTAGTTTGGCTGGATATGAAATTCTGGGTTGAAAATTCTTTTCTTTAAAAATGTTGAATATTGGCCCCCACTCTCTTCTGGCTTGTAGAATTTCTGCCGAGAGATCCGCTGTTAGTCTGATGGGCTTCCCTTTGTGGGTAACCCGACCCTTCTCTCTGGCTGCCCTTAACATTTTTTCCTTCATTTCAACTTTGGTGAATCTGACAATTACATGTCTTGGAGTTGCTCTTCTTGAGGAGTATCTTTGTGGCGTTCTCTGTATTTCCTGAATCTGAATGTTGGCCTGCCTTGCTAGATTGGGGAAGTTCTCCTGGATAATATCCTGCAGAGTGTTTTCCAACTTGGTTCCATTCTCCCCGTCACTTTCAGGTATACCAATCAGACGTAGATTTGGTCTTTTCACATAGTCCCATATTTCTTGGAGGCTTTGTTCATTTCTTTTTATTCTTTTTTCTCTAAACTTCCCTTCTCGCTTCATTTTATTCATTTCATCTTCCATCACTGATACCCTTTCTTCCAGTTGATCGCATCAGCTCCTGAGGCTTCTGCATTCTTCACATAGTTCTCGAGCCTTGGCTTTCAGCTCCATCAGCTCCTTTAAGCACTTCTCTGTAATGGTTATTCTAGTTATACATTTGTCTAAATTTTTTCAAAGTTTTTAACTTCTTTGGCTTTGGTTTGAATTTCCTTTTGTAGCTTGTAGTTTGATCGTCTGAAGCCTTCTTCTCTCAACTCGTCAAAGTCATTCTCCGTCCAGCTTTGTTCCACTGCTGGTGAGGAACTGTGATCCTTTGGAGGAGGAGAGGTGCTCTGCTTTTTAGAGTTTCCAGTTTTTCTGCTCTGTTTTTTCCCCATCTTTGTGGTTTTATCTACTTTTGGTCTTTGATGATGGTGATGTACAGATGGGTTTTTGATGTGGATGTCCTTTCTGTTTGTTAGTTTTCCTTCTAACAGACAGGACCCTCAGCTGCAGGTCTGTTGGAGTTTGCTAGGGGTCCACTCCAGACCCTGTTTGCCTGGGTATCAGCAGCGGTGTCTGCAGAACAGTGGTTTTTCATGAACCGCGAATGCTGCTGTCTGATCGTTCCTCTGGAAGTTTTGTCTCAGAGGAGTACCCGGCAGTGTGAGGTGTCAGTCTGCCCCTACTGGGGGTGCCTCCCAGTTAGGCTGCTCAGGTGTCAGGGATCAGGGGTCAGGGAGCCACTTGAGGAGGCAGTCTGCCCGTTCTCAGATCTCCAGCTGCGTGCTGGGAGAACCACTGCTCTCTTTAAAGCTGTCAGACAGGGACATTTAAGTCTGCAGAGGTTACTGCTGTGTTTTTGTTTGTCTGCGCCCTGCCCCCAGAGGTGGAGCCTACAGAGGCAGGCAGGCCTCCTTGAGCTGTGGTGGGCTCCACCCAGTTGGAGCTTCCCGGCTGCTTTGTTTACCTAAGCAAGCTTGGGCAATGGCGGGCAGCCCTCCCCCAGCCTCGCTGCCACCTTGCAGTTTGATCTCAGACTGCTGTGCTAGCAATCAGCGAGACTCCGTGGGCATAGGACCCTCAGAGCGAGGTGCAGGATATAATCTCCTGGTGCACCGTTTTTTAAGCCTGTCGGAAAAGCGCAGTATTAGGGCAGGAGTGACCCGATTTTCCAGGTGCCGTCTGTCACCCCTTTCTTTGACTAGGAAAGGGAACTCCCTGAGCTCTTGCGCTTCCTGAGTGAGTCAATGCCTCACCCTGCTTCGGCTCGCACACGGTGCGCTGCACCCACTGACCTGTGCCCACTGTCTGGCACTCCCTAGTGAGATGAACCCGTTACCTCAGATGGAAATGCAGAAATCCCCCGTCTTCTGCGCCACTCATGCTGGGAGCTGTAGACCGGAGCTGTTCCTATTCGGCCATCTTGGCTCCTCCCTGGATTTTCTTTAAAGACTGGAAATAATCTCCTTTTTCAGATTACAGATACAGACTGCACCAGTATTTCTTCTATCTCTAAATAAAGGAAACTCCATTAAAACAATAAATAAAGCATTTTACCATGGCTGCTACAGAAGGCATTTAAGTAGCTCTGGCTACCACCTGCACTAAATTCTTCAATTATGACTGCCATCCATGTGCTTCAGACAGTTTGACAAGGGCAGCTGAATCAGTGAGAGACACCAAGTCCATGAGAGGGAACAAGAGCACCATAAATGAATTAAGAGTTGGGTGACAGAGGGTCCTCATGGAGAGCCTGATGTGAAAGGAAAAGCATGAGTAAGTGTAAGTCTAAATAGTAACCTACCCCACCCCAATAAACTCCATCCCATTCTGCCGAATCCCCTGCATGCCACGGATGTGGGACCTAAGGAAGGCTTCTTTGATATATTTGATAATCCTAGAACAAATCTATTAATAAGCACAACTGCTTGGCTACACTTGTACTCTCACCCTTTATCCTTTTGGTGAATTAAAAAAAAAAAAAAAAGACGTCTCCCTTTGAGGAGGAGACAGGTGGATCATGAAGAGACATGGCCAGACTGTGGTTATATAACTGCGAAAGGATGAATTGTTGGTGGGCACTGGCATTGCAGTGGGGCAGCAGGCAGAGGAGGAATTGTTCAGATGAACATTGTATGATACCACATGCAGCATTCTAGAGGAGGTGGCTGCAAGCTGAGCTAGCAGGGAGAGGGAGGTTGAGCAAGCGGGAAATTGGGAGCAACCAGAGTACTGCCAGCAGTACTGTTCAAGTCATGTGTAAAATAATTTCTCATATGTGCTCAAGGTCTTTGAGTAAGGAAATAATGATAAAATTACTCTCATCAGCATCCATAAAATGTGCTTCTGAGAAGGCCTGAGGGCTACATGTCTAATATGCTGGAATTGGTGCTAACATAGAAGTGTACAGTGAGTGTTTTGACAGTCATTTATTCTGCGTCCAGTGGTCAGGGAGGAGACGACATTTGAGCTGGCCTTGAAGGATATAGACAGCACCCATCTTCTGATTTCACATGCCTCTGCTCATCCCAGAGACCTCTGAACTTATCGGCTTTATATAAAAACGTTAGTGACGGTTGGCTAGCTTGAGCAATAACACTTCTCTGAGCAAACCGAATTGTCTCAAGCTTTCATCATTTTGTTGGTGGATGTTCAGATGCTGTGGAATAATCTAGCTATCCAGCTGCATCAAATGTTGCATTACCAAAGAAAATGGTTTCTTCAACTGAACATGAGAAGTTCAAGGCTGCCTGCAGACACAATCCATCTGTGAATACAACTTTCCTTTGCCCTGGTGACTGAATAGTACATTAAGCTCCATGATATGCATGAGCCAGGTTTCATCTTTGAGGATGAGATCTTAAACAAAGGAAAAAATGATAACACGGCCTTTGGGTCATGTCCTTTTCCACGAGTTTCCCAAGTAATTTTTTGCAAAAGAATAGGCTTTTTGTGTGGTAGTTTGCATACCATACCATGAAGAAATTGGAAATCAAAGGACAGTATTATACTAGTCACCCTCACCACTGACCATTTTAACATAGCAGAGGCATTGCTGCCTAGTGGTTAGTCATGCCCATTCTGTAGCCAGACCCTTGGATTCAAATTCGAGTTCCTCTGCTTACAAACTGAATGATCCCTGGAAATTACTTAATGTCTCAATACCTCGGTTTCTTTATGAGTAAAAAGGGAATTATCGTAGTGCTCATCTTATATTGAGAATTAACTCTAAACTACTTCTAAAGGTCTACAAAAGTTGGTTGTAACAGATTAATTTCTGAACTGTTGGATACTCCTTAGAATTCCTGGTAGACTCCATCTCAAATTTTTATCATCTCTGAAATTGACTGTACAAAAAAAAAGTGTCTATTAAGCCTCTTAAAACAATGTTGATTACAATGATTTTAAGAATGACATTGTGATAGCAACAGCAATGACAATTCTTTAAAAATAGTTGTACCTAAGATTCTTTAGTGATTGTATATGCTCTGGGCTCAATGCTTTATTCCACATCATGTTATTTAATCCTTCTCCAAGCCCTATACAATAAGTTATGGTTCTTCACGTTTTATGGAAACAAAGAGAGATGTTCATAGCAACTAGGTAATTGGCTGTGCCTCTCATCTCTGATAAGTGCCAGGACCTGGATTTAAACTAGAAGCTCTGATCTTAATCTAATTACTTTAGTTTCTCATGTATCACTCTGCACTGCATTCATCAATGTAAGTACTGTATCTCCCTGTAGACTGAGATATAGAAGCTGCATTTTCTTCTATTTCTCTTGTACCCTTCTGCAAAACCCCGATCTTTTCTACATCATGCCAATACTGTTAACAATGCTTATTGCTGGTGGTTCTTGGTTTGTTTATCTTCATACAGTCATTGATCTTTTAGCACTTAGTTTCTAATTTTTCTCTTCATCCTATTTCCTTCTTTTAAATCAAATCTGATCATATCAGGACTCTACTTAAAATTCATCAATGGCTCCTCATTTTGGGCAGAGGGAGTGAAAACCAGATCATTACCACAACCTGCAAACCTTGCACGATCCAGCCCTGTCAATATTTTGTTTCATGTGACTTGCTGTTTCCTCTTGATCTCTGCACTTCAACCACATGGTTTTATTTTTCCTGTTCCTAATATAAGCTTTGATCTATCAAATCACAGGGTATCTGATATGCTATCTCCTCAGTTTAAGCATTCTTTCCTTCTGCATTTGTACAGGTTTTCCCCATTCTTCCTAGAAATTTAAAATCAGTAAATGTTTCCTTGTGGAAGACTTCCTGGAGCTGACATTGGACATTGTCAAGTTGCCGTGTACCTTTCCTCTGTAGCACCTGTTGCAGTTTACCTTGGCCGTTAGACCCCAAACTCTATGAGGGCAAGAGCCAGGTCTTTTAATAGAAATAGAAAATAATTCATTTTGACTGCAAATATATAAAAGGGTGTGTGTCTATAGAAGGGCCCTCAGTTCACTATCATTGAAAAATGCATTAATTATATTTTCACCATAATGGAGAAGAGATTTTGTGATTGCACGTACAGATACACACATATAAACATACACAGACTGCAGAATTATTTCTAAACTAACTGAGCTTGTTTTTCTAAGCAGATTTAAGTTAAGCAAATGTAAAATTGCAGTCAGAGCATTAATGGGATCTCACTGGCAGAATCAGCATCATGGGGTATAGGCATGAGTGGTCCCTCTTTGCTATTTGATGTCTTCCACCACATGATCCCACAGTGTCTATTCAATCTCATCTTAGACATGCTGTCAACCCATTATAAAACATCACACTGCATCTCACCTCTTACATACCTGGCTTGTGACCTGCCTGGGCTCACTCCCAGATATCATGCCTCCCTAGGCTCTTGCTTGCTTCATTCCCTGCATCAATGTTGTCCCTGTTCTTTCTAATTGTCTTATTAACAGTGCCACTTCAAGAGCAGATATGTGGAGTTAGTGTTCAAGACCTAGCTGTCAAATGAGAATGGTTTCACAGTGGTGCTGTGAAGGTGTCCAAAGATGAAGACTGATGTGTAATAGGCCATGAATAAATGTTATTCTACCATACTCCATTATTCAGAAAGCAGAGCTAAGTCCATCTTCTGCAGGAAGCCTCCATGGATTGCACCCATCCAAACTGACACTCCACCTCCACATTACACTATCATGTGCTGTCTACGCTGTGCATTTCTACTCATCTCATCCCTTGGGATGGTTCTGTAACTATTTCATAGGTACATATGTGGCCTTTTAAATAGATTATTCATATACCAAGGGCAGAAAACTTGTCTCATGTTAACTTCTTATTCTCATTCACGGAGCCTCATAATAAGTGAATATTAGAGCAGTTTAACTTTTAAGGAATGAAATTTATATCATACTTATCAGCCACCCTGTATTGTGTACGGTTATTAAGTATCTCACCTCCTTAATTTCTATGATAAAGAAGGCACTGTGGGTATCTAACTTTAGCTTACTAAATAAGCACTCAGTCTTTTTGGTAATAAATAGCTTTGGCTTAAAGGAAGTATCCATATGGGAGAAAATGTTCTGTCAATATATTTATTTTAGTCCTATCATTGCATGGTTCCACTAAGGTATCTAAATAATTATATTATTGATTTACACATGCATGTGTAAATATATTTGACAAAATTTTGAAGATGTAAAAATATTCACCATGTAATATTAATTGAAAATAGGGGAATAAATGGTGTGTATTGTGATCTCCACTCTGTATAATGTAAAATTATCAGCTGGGCACGATGGCTCGCACCTGTAATTCCAGAACTTTGGGAGGCCAAGGCGGGCAGATCATGAGGTCAGGAGATAGAGGCCATCCTAGTTAACATGGTGAAACGCCGTCTCTACTAAAAATAATAATAATAAAAAAATCAGCCAGACGTGATGGCGGGTGCCTGTAGTACCAGCTACTCGGGAGGCTGAGGCAGGAGAATGGCATGAACCTGGGAGGTGGAGCTTGCAATGAGTGGAGATAGCACCACTGCACTCCATCCTGGGCGACAGAGCAAGACTCCGTCTCAAAAAAAAAAAAAAGAAAGAAAGAAAGAAAAGAAAAGAAAAAAATTAAAAACAAAATTATCAATTACATACTAGAAGAAAAGTCATTAAATATTAACAGAAACTGAATCTAAATATGATTTTAGATATGATGTTTAAATATATTTACATTCATTACTATTATTTTCAATACATGTCATAAATGACTATTACTTGCTCAAATTTTTCATTACATCAGTGTAAGATCTAGAAGTTGTAAACTTATAAACTCTTAATAAAATGCAATATTCTGTATAAAAACTGGCAATATGTTCATTAATTACTGTATCAGTCCATTGTCACACTGCTGTAAAGAACTACCTGAGACTGGCTAATTTATAAATAAAAGACATTTAATTGACTCACAGTTCCACATGGCTGGAGAGGCCTCAGGAAACTTACAATCATGGTGGAAGGTGACAGGGAAGCAAGGCATATCTTACATGGCAGCCAGAGTGAGAGAGAGCCAGGGAGGAAATGCCAAACAGTTTTAAACCATCAAATCTCATGAGAACTCCCTCACTATCACAAGAACAGCATGGAGGAAACTGCCTCTATGATCCAACCACCTCTCACCAGGTCCATCCCTTGACACATGGAGATTAAAATTCGAGATGAGATTTGGGTGGGGACACAGAGCCTAACTGTATTAACTACCATATTTTTAAACTAAATGCTTTTGGTGAGTGTTTATTATGTCTTTCTGCTGGTGCATAATACAGTTTACCAGGCACAGAGAAAATAATAGCAGAATGTCAGTATTTTGAATGCTTAAGTATCTACCTTTAGTCTATTGGGAAGTAAAGATAAGTTCAAGCCTAAAAATGTACTCAAAGAGAAATAATATAGTAATATAAGTTAATAATGGAGGTTATAAAAATCTTTCAAAGAGTATGATCACTAAAATAAAATGTAAAGTATAATAGGTGTTATATAAGTAAAGATGAAAAAGTATGTGTGTGTGTGTGTGTGTGTGTGTGTGTGTGTGCGCGTGTGCTGGTATGGCTTATGATATGCATGTTAGGCCTGTGTATGTAGAAGCATATTGATTTGTGTTAGTGTTGGCATATGTGTGGGGAAGGTTTGCAGGGGGTCAAGTAAAACTATGAATAGGCAATGCAGTTCAGGAAGGACCTTGAGAGGAACTGACCTCAAAAACCTTGGAAGAAATCTTGTTCCTAAGAGCCAAATCATGCATTTAGTCTGAGCATGGTGGCTCACGCCTGTAATCCCAGCACTTTGGGAGGCCGAGGCAGGCGGATCACCTGAGGTCAGGAGTTGGAGACCAGCCTGACCAACATGGAGAAACCCCATCTCTACTAAAAATACAAAATTAGCTGGGATGGTGGTGCATGCCTGTAATCCCAGCTACTCGGGAGGCTGAGGCACGAGAGTTACTTGAACCCTGGAGGTGGAAGTTGCGGTGAGCCAAGATCACGCCATTGCACTCCAGCCTGGGCAACAGGAGTGAAACTCCGTCTGAAAGAAGGAAAGAAAGAAAGAGAAAGAGAGAAAGAAAGAAGGAAAGAAGGAAAGAAATTTATTCTGTCAGATACCCTAAATCATCTCTCTCAAGTTCAAAGTTCCACAGATCTCTAGAGCAGGGGCAAGGTGACACTAGTTTCTTTGCTGAAGGATAGCAAGGGTGAACTTTACTCCAGTTCACAAGTTCCTCATCTCCATCTGAGACCACTTCAGCCTGGACTTCATTGTCCATATCACTATCAGCATTTTGGTCGAAGCCATTCCACAAGTTTCTAGGAAGTTCCAAACTTTTCCACATCTCCCTGCCTTCTTCTGAGGCCTCCAAACTGATTCAACCTCTACTTGTTACCCAGTTCCAAAGTCAGTTTTACATTTTTGTGTATCTTAATAGTAGCATCCCACTCTCTGCAGTACCAATTTAGTGTATTAGCCTCTTTTCTTGCTGCCATTAATAAGTACGTGAGACTGGATAATTTAAAAGAAAAGAGGTTTACTTGACTCATAGTTCCACATGGCTGGGGAGGCCTCAGGAAACTTGCAATCATGGTGGAAGGCACCTCTTTACAGGACAGCAGGAGAGACAGTGAGTGCAAGCAGGGGAAATGCCAGATGCTTATAAAACCATGAGATCTTGTGAGACTCACTCACTATTATGAGAACAGCATGGGAGAAACAGCCCCTGTGATCCAATTACCTCCACCTGGTCCCACCCTTGGCACTTGAGGACTATGGGGATTACAATTCAAGATGAGATTTTGGATGGGGACACAGCCAAACCATATCAGAGATATTTCACCTGGTATCACAGTCCAGCAGCCAGGTGTATAATTGCCCCTGAATGGGTTGCAGAACGTTGTGCCTGGTACTAAGCGCTTTCTGCTGAGTTTGGGATGTTTGGTTATGCAGCAGTGTTGTGGTGTGGCTAACGAATTCAGCTGCCATTCCCTTAAATTCTTATGAGTTCCACATCTACCTAAAACACTGCCATATTTACTTGAACCACATGGAAGATGAGCCCTTCGTAACTAGAGACAAGTAAAGAGAATGGGCCAAGTTTATCCAGCTAGAAGGTAATGAGGACATGTTAGGGAGCCTAAACTTTGTCTAGGATACATACTTCCCAGAAACAGCTGCTTTTAATTTATTCAGATTAAGGGATATAGTCAGCTGCCTAATTGCTAAGAAATTACAATTTACTCATCGAATAAAAGCTTATTGAGTACTTATTGAATACAAGTAATTATTAGCTCAGGGTAATGTGAGGAGCCTCTGATGGCAGCCAGACATTCTAACCTTTTGATGCAATGACATTAAGATACCTGAGGATTTGAGCAGGACTGTTTTATATTGAGGATCCTGTGCCCCATAGACAAAATGACCCTGAATCGATCTCAATATGAAAAATGAGAGCTCAAAATAAATGATCTCTAAAGGGCCTCTAGCTCTAAAATTCTAAACTGTAATGATTATGGCAGGCCTCTAGACTATATATTTCTGGTATTATTCATCAACATTTTCAACATTTCATCATGGGGAAACAACTTTACGACATGAAAAGTGTTACAGGTGTATACGTTATATTTGTATGATGCTTTACAGTTTCCAATATACTTACAATGTATTCTCTTCTTGTATCCACAAAAATGTCCTCTGAAGTAGAAAGGACAGAATTTCAACACACATTTAGTGGTTTTATTGACAGGGACCCTGAGTAGTTTAAAAATTCCCTAAAATTCGACAGAAAATTAAGGACACTGTTTGAGCTTGAAATCGTATTTCTTAAGAATCTAACCCGTTTTTGGTACACTATCTGTAAGGAGAACACACATATGTATAGAATATGCAGACAGAGACATTTTTTGTCTTTTTATTTTTCATTCATTAGTTGATTCAGTCATTCATTGATGTAATTATGAAATAACCAATTTATTAATTTCTTTCAAGAAAGTATTTTAAAAGTATTAAAACCAAAGAATTTGTAGTGAGTTGCCAGGGTTTGTATCTTAGTTCTGCCAGTATTCAGCTGCATGTCGTGCCACTTTTCTTATCTGCAGAATGGAATCAGTCATAGACTCTATCTTATAATTTTAAGACAATGAAAACACTAATAGGTATTAAGGCTCAAGGTAGCACTTGTCCGATGGTACATACATTATGCCCATTCTTATGCTTCTGCACTGTCTATGCATGTATTGAGGAAAGAAAGGAGAATAAAATGTTGAACTTGGCTTATAGTTGGGAGTAGGGGAAAGAAGGGGAATTGATGAGTAATTTTATTTGTAAATAATTATACAAATGTTTTTAAAATGTTATTATGAATTAGGTGCAGTCTGAAAGCAGGTGACCTCTGTTCTAAAAACTCTTGAGTAATTGTGACTTTAAAAAATATTGCCTTTGAGTTCAGACAATAGCCTCAGAGTTTCAGGATGAGCAGATGTCTGTGGTTTCCTACAAGGATCCCACTCTTCATTCTTCTGCATGTCACAAATATTCCTTAGAGAAATCTTCCCCAGTGAGCAGGAGGTGAATGGCTGGGATCCCCAGCTCCAGCAGCTCCAGCAGCAAGCCTTCTTCCATTCTTGCCAATTATCTGGGTCCACAGTGGAGAGCCAACATTAGGATAAAGATGACTCCATGGGAGGCAGTAGGAAGAGGAAGTAATCATACGCTTAAGTGAATTTCTGACCTTCTGAGTTTCTCTCAAACCAAAGCCACCTCCAATCCTGGAATGTACAGTAAATAAACCAATAAATCCAGTAACTAACTTCTATTGTCTAAGCCAGTTTGAGGTATGCTTTGGCTTGCATCAGAATTTTTCCTAACTGATGCGGATAACTTAGATCCATAAAACTGGGATAGTGCACTTAGTGGAGTCAAGTGCAAATTCCCCCAGGCATCTAGGTGTGATGTCCCACCGCTGCTACCACCAGCCCCTTCCCAAGTCCACATCCCCATCTCAAGGCATATGTGATTGATCAGTCGTGACCTCACCTGCCCTTCCTCTTCATTCTTGGGTTTATCTCTGAAACTGTATGCCTGTAGGTCTAAAGCCTAGGTAATATGACTTCAACTTCATGTAGCCCTAGCCCTGCTCATCAGACTACAGCACAAAAAATTGACTTCTGCTCTGCCATTCATGTTTTCTTCCCAGCACAAAAGGTGATCTTTCTATCTATTACCAACATATAAGGCCTGTATTCAGTTAATATAATAATATATTAATAGCTAACAAGAACCCACTTTTTCATAAAAAGAGAAACACAAGGTGAAAAGGGCTTGATATAAATGTTTCAATAATCATTACGACTTGTAAGAGAGTCAGATTATAGAAAAGATTTCAGAAAACTCCATTTCAAACTCTTTTTTTTTTCTTCTCTACTTTCTGTCTTCTCAGAATGTTAAAGAGATTTCTAGGTCCTAAGTTTGCTTCGGTTTATTTGTTTCCTGCCCATTAAAGTATATAAATAAATAACAAAAACTCATAACAACTGACTTGTCTTATAAACTCATCCAACCCTTTCTAACTTAAGTTGAAAAATCTTGATGCTTTTTGCGTTAGGTCTCTCCTTTAAAATTCTTCTCACATTTATTATTCTATGAATTAAAATGTCTATTTTTTATAATCTCATATTTCTTTCCTGGATCTTATCACTATCTGTTTCTGCCTCCCTGATTTTCCATGGTGTCTTCAACTAATTTATTTCCATCTCTTTATAGCAAATAAAATTCCCTTAACCTTTCTCTGTCAGACATTACAAAGGATATTACTCACAGTGCTTAATTCCTTCCCACCTTTCTGGCAATTTTATGCTCAGTGAGGTGCTGTCAAAGGCAACAGAGAATTTACCAAGTAATACATAAACCTAAATACCTCCATAAAAAAATAAAGACTCCTGTGGTTTGCCTTATTTTCAGAATTATATCGATTACAATGTTTATTCTATCAGCTGTATATTTTGCATTTGCTAGGTTTTATATTCTCCCCATATCTGTGGGTTTTCTCCACGTACCACAGTTTTCTCCCCCATCCGAAAGCTGTGTATGTTCTGTGAGTTGGCGTTTCTACACTGTCACAGTCTGAGTGAGTGTGGGTGTTGGTGTAAGCGAACCCTGTGATGAAATGACGTCCTTCCATGGTTGGTGCCCGCCTTGAGCTACTGGAATAGGTTCCAGTCACCTGAGACCCTGAACTGGAATAAACAGTTTGGAAAATGATGATTGATTGAATACAAATGATTGTAAACTAAACATTTGGAAAGCCCACAATAATTGCATAAAGGCACAACAATAAACGATGCAGTAGGAAAGCATTCAGCAAGCTCGCCACATTTGTGATTGTTTGATGTTGAAATGCGTGGTGCCAGGAGGTGCTCCTTACAATTTTTGATTTGCAAACATTTATCCATTGATTTAACCCACTACTGCTACAACTGTCACCACTCACTGATTCACCAAAAATTGAGTAAATAATTATCTTACCGGCTTTTATTAATTTATCTTAAATATATGTATAGCTCACATTCATTTCAATGTTTAAAGTTTGAAGTGTCTGGGGTCTTTATTTAGAAGTTTCATGATGTTTTTGTCATCAGAAATATGCCACAGGAAGTTGACACTTGTTCGTATCAACTAGCCTATGATAAAACTGGTTTAATCATGCTTCATTTTACTTAAAGTCACAGTTTCCAGTAATCTATCAACAATATTAAGTGACGACTTAAGTGTTTTGGAGAAAGACATATACCCAGACCTTCTGGGGTTCTGAGTTAACACCAACCCTTCAGAACCCAAAATGCCTTTGTGGTCAGGGTGAGAACTTATGGAAATCAGGCAGTAATGGACACTTGGCCTGAGTGGGTAACGCAGTGGGTCCATAGTAGGTCCATTCTGTGGTTATTTCCCTAGTTTCTCAATGTGCAGTTGGAATAGAACTATTTAGCAACTGAACGGGATCTCCATTTTCATTCCTTAGCAGGTTGAGTAAAAGCCAACATTGATTTTGAAGCATGACTGTGAATTACAGTAAACTTTATCACATGTTAGCACTAATCACAGGATGTGTTCCAGATGTAAACTCTTTACAAAGCAAATCAACAGCTCCTGGCAAAAAAAAAAGAAAAACAACAACAACAACAACAAATACACAGCTACCAATTGACTTATCAAATGTTTTGTTTCTCATTCCCAATTAATATATGCATTCCCAATTAATATAAAGTGGAATTCCCAATTAATATAAAGTTAATTTATATTAATTCCCAATTAATATAAAGTTAATTTATATTAATTCCCAATTAATATAAAGTTAATTTATATTAATTCCCAATTAATATAAAGTTAATTTATATTAATTCCCAATTAATATAAAGTTAATTTATATTAATTCCCAATTAATATAAAGTGGAAATCATCCACTTTACCAGGCAAGAACAGCAATACTTCTTTACTCAGTTATTTTAGGACTATATGAACTTTAATATGCTTTTTCTTTATATATTCTGTAAAAAATTTAGTCACATTAATTTCTTCCAGTATATCATGCTGTTGGTTACATAACGTAAATGATTTTATGCTCATTGGATTATGTGAGAGAGACATACAAAACCTTAAATGCTTAAATTGGAGATATTATGCCAGAGAAATTTCAGTAGTATTTATACATCAATAAAGTTTCTAGGGGGTTAATTGTCTGAAACAGGTTTGGATACAGCTTCTAAAGTAAATGACATTTTCCTGTACCCCACACCATTTGTCATAGCAAAAATAAATAAATAAATAAAGTATAATTCTTGTTTGGAAATTTGGGTTTGGGAGATAGATATACCACATGAGTGTATGCTGCTCTGCTCCATTTATAGAAAAACTTGTAAGTCTGACAATTGATTTAAGTTAATAGACTTTATTTATTAGAGAGTTTTTAGATTTCATAAAAATTGAGCAGAAAAGTACAAAAAGTTTTATTATATTTCTTTGTCTCCAACATAATCTTCTCTGTAATTAACATCTTGTATTAATGTGGTACAATCATTTCAATTGATTGGCCAATATGAATACACAATTATTAACTAAAGTCCACAGTTTAGATTAGGGTTCACTCTGTATTAGAATGTTCTGTGGGTTTTGATAAATGCATAACATCATGTATCCATCATTGGAGTGTCATGCAGAAGTTTCATTGACCTAAAAATCTCTTGTGCTCCAGCTATTTATCCATCTTTCCCTACCCAAAACCCGGGCAACCACTGATCATTTTTCAAAATACTTGTGTTAAAATATACATAACATAAAATGTACCATCTTAACTCCTTTAAGTGTGCAATTCTGTAGTGTTAAATGCATTTATATTGGTGTGCAACAAATCTCCAGGACTCCTTTCATTTTCCAGAACTGAAACTCTACACCCATTAACAATAACCGCCTATCTCTTCCTTTTTCCAGCCTCTGGGAAACATGATGCTACTTTTTTTTCTATGAATTTGACCTAGGTACTTCATATAAGTGAAATACTATGGTGTTTGTCTTTTCGTGGCTGGTTTATTTCACTCAGCGTAATGGCCTCAAGATTCATCTATGTTGTAGCATGTTTCAGAATTTCCTTCCTTTCTAAAGCTGAATAATATCCCATCATATGGGTATATTACATTGTGTTTGTCCATTTATCTGTGGATGGTCACTTGAGTTGCTTTCACATTTTGGCTATTGCAAATAATGCTGCTATGAAGACAGATGCATAAGTATCTCCTTGAGATCCTGTTTTTAACTCTTTGAGTATATAGTTAAAGTAGAATTACTGGATCACAGAGTAATTCTATTTATAACGTTTTGAGTAGCCACTATACTGTTTTCCATAGAATTGACAGTTTTGTGGGCTATAATACAGGTTAATTATTTGAAACAAGCTTCCCTGACATATGGTCCTCATGATCCAGTGGATTCTAAGGGTACTTTATGTGATGTGTTGGATAGGGATGCAGTATAAGGTCTTCAGTAAAATTAAAATAAACATAATAAAGCTGAATATACACAGTAGTGTTTCATCCATGCAGGGAAGTAATTATGTAAGACCAGACTTTAGCAGATTCCATTTTCAAAGAAGGAAACAGGTACTAATCTCTTCATTAGAATAGTGGGAGCCTCAAGTCATACATTTCTATCAAAGGATCAATGCACAACCTTGTTTTAGGTGTGCTTCTGTTTAAAGACACCATGTTTAGTACATATTGTTGATTCACTAACATTAAACTCACAGACAACAGCTCTATAATTCGTGCCTGAAAGAAGCTTATTTCAATAAACGTGTTTTTGCCCTATAAGGCACATAACAACTGCCTTGTGCTTAGGGACACTAGACGACACATCAGGCCTGCACTTGGGGATCATTTTAAAGAGCAAAATCACAAACAGAAAGCACAAAAAATAAAAAAGAGAAACATAGCACTGCACAGATATCAAAAAGACACTTGTTTACAGCCTGGGAGTAGAAACAAGAAAGCAACGCATTGCCTCATTTCACCCCACTGGTAACGTATGTGTTGGGCAACTCAAACTTTTTGCCAATAACAAGGAAAACACAGAGATTATTAATTTTCATGTTACAAATACATTTTAGCAAGTGGACAAATTATCAAATATGGAATCCATAAGTGATGAAGATGGACTGTATAAAAATACGTACCCCCATGTTTGGAAAATACAATCTGCTGTACATCATACTCAGAGGGAATGCAAAAATAAAAAGTCTTCTCAGTGTCTGATTTTCTAATAGAGTGCCAGATTTTCTACTTTGCATGTTATGAAAGTTGTTTTAGGTGATCAAAGGCTTATAAAGAACAGGATGAGATTATTGATGATAAGACGGTAGGACCCAGAGCCATAATTATGCATCTCTCAGAATAGATACAGTAGACATAATACCCTTGCCTATATAAAAGCCTTGAAAAAGGCTTAACTGAAATTCAACAGCTCAACTGCCTGGATTTTATTTAATAAGCAGGTGGAAAAATGACACATTCTATAAATGCCGGTCTTTCCTCTGGCACTCTGGCCATTTGCTATATGGGCCTTGTGTGCTGAGTACAGACAGAGAAGAGTGCTATACATAGACTCAACAATGTGGCTGCTAATGAGTGCCTGAGTTGCCAAAAGCAGAGGCTAAAGCTGAACCCTGATAATGCACCATGAGTGTATTAACCAGCCATCTGGGAGCAGGCTGATTGCACTGGTCCCCTTCTATTAAGGACAGTGATTTGTCTCACAGGAATAAATATAGATTTGCCTTTCCTGCCCCCACATCCCCTGCCATCATCGCTACTCAATGTATGTCTTGTTCACATTGGTGTTCTTCCACTCGACATTGCTTTTTACAAGAGAATAATGGTAACGTTGCAGCAAGCAAAGTTTGAAAATGCACTGATGCCCATGGGATTCACTGATCTTATCACATATATCATCACCAGAAACAGCTGGCTTGTTAGGATAATGAAATGCCCTAGTGACGTTTAGTAGTTATCACCTTAGAGAAACACCACCAGAGGACTTGGGATGCTGTTTTACAGGATGTAGAACAGGCTACACATAATAGGTGGGTATATCTTGCCATTTTCCTCTTAGTCAAAATACATGAATCCATTTCCTAGGGAGAGATGTATGGGTGGTCTCTTTCACTATTACAAAATAATAACTATCTTATACAATTTTTGTTCACCTTCTTCACAACCTTGAGTTTGATTGGTTGGAAGTCCCTTAGATGGAAGCTGAAAATATGCCCTGACCACTTGTATGCTTGTGTTACTAAGGAAAATGAGTTATCTTAACTAGGGTCATTTGATCCTGATTACCAAGGACAAATTAGTTATTGTGTAGGATGTAGGGGGTTTTCTGGGTTTCTCTTAATATTTTTCTTAGGTCCAATAATGTTATACCAATGGAACCAATAAAGACAGGACAAATAATTCAAATCCTGTGACAACATATCTATAAAATGGGCCTCATAAGAGTAGAGTGATCTTGTGGAGGGGTGATGATTAAAATAAGTTAATAGATTCAATAAATTTATAACAGTGCTGGAATATATCACATAGTATTTATTTTTGGAATTTTTACCATTATTTTTGTCTCATATAAATCTGATAGCTGAAAGGCATCACATCAAATAAAATATAGCTAGGTTAAAACTTCAAAAAAAAGAAACAAAACAAAAAGATTGCATATCCCACCAATTTTCTCCACCCAGTTCTCCATCCACCTCATTTTCTCACAACGTCCACAACCCTCCCAAATGCAGTTCAGTCCATCTTTGAATAGCTTTGCACTTTCCTTTTTTTTCTCTTCCATAGATTCAAAATTGGCATTATCCTTATAAATTATGGCATGTCTGTTGTGTGGATACACTACACGTTTCTCTCCCCGCCACCTCCCACCCCAAACACACACATTCCCTAGGGCTGCTCTGCTCTTTACTTAGACTATTTGAGACACTTTCCCCTGCTCCCTGCTACCTGGTGTATTCACAATCATCACTTACCTTTGTGGTAAGCATTTATTACCCCAAGTCGTCTGTTTCCATGTTTTACTCTCAATAAAGAGTAAGATTCCTGGGGTAGAAATAGTGTGCATGTGTATACACATACACACACCCCACACATGCACACTCAACATATTTTTACTGATTAGTTTTCAGAACCTTATATGAATGCATACATGAATTTGTTAATACATGCACCAGTATTTAGCTTGATCCCTTGGCAATATTTCTGGAAACTGAACATTTTAAGAAGTTGGATAAGACGGGCCAGCTAGCAAAGAAAATGTTTCTTCATGCTTCCAGATTATAGTAACCCACTTCCCCTTTCACTTGCCTGGTCTGTTGATTCTGTCTCTGCCTCTTATCAGCAAAATACCTCTCTAAATAATGGTCTTTCACTATAACTATAGCCTCTCTCCACTTTTCCTCTGTATATCACTTATCAGTTCCCATACTGATTTCTTTGGTAAATTTTATAAACAACATTTGCCCCAGGCTAGTAATTTTAGTGTGTCTTTTAAGGCTATTCTATGATTCTTTTAATTCAGAAAGTGACTTTATATTCTTTGCTTTTTCTAGAAACTTTATAAAATGATGATCGAGTGGGTTCAATAACAACCATGTGAAGAAGAATTCTCTTGGCTTATATTTATCAAAAATAAGTAAGGAGGACAAACAAAAGAGATAAAAAAATACGCAGCAGTATGCATACTCGTGTTGTTTCCATGGTCATAGCCCAAATCGTAGTGAACTAGGTCTGGGGCTTTGGTATCATGCTTTTTCCTTGAGCTGGAGCTGCAGTTCCATCAAAATGTGCTTTACCTGATAAGGATGAATTTAGCCATCATTTGATTCTTAACTGAGATTTTTGAGAAGTAGCAACTTCGTTTGAATTAAAATCTTCTTAAAAATCTAGTATCGTACCCTCCAATACTCTGTTGTTCTTTTGGACATACCTTCTCTTAGCCGTCCTGGGCCATCTTTCACTTGGGTACAAGATCCATGCCTTCCTTTCCTCCTTTGCACAAAGAGATGGGAACCAATTATTTAATGTTTTGCTTTCTTCTTTATTCTCCAACTCTAAATCTCAATCACCATTCTTAAGCAAACCTACGTTTTTTTGTTTCAATGTCACTTATCATGAACAAGAAGAAATTATTGCCTTTGTTCAGAGAAGCAGATTACACGTAGGTTGTTATAATTCACAAAACCATTCAATTGTTTTGTTGAATGGCTTCCTTTTCCATGTGTTTCTTTGACTTTACTGTTTAGTAGCCAAGGTATCTAATTATGAAATTGGTTCCTTCCTTTGAAATGCTTTTGATGCGTCTTATTGTCTTGATTACATCATGGTCTAATCACCTTGCCTATGTCTCCTGCTGTCTTTAATTGACAATTAGGCCACTATTTATAAAACAAGTATATCATTTACAGGACAATGGTTGGAAGGAAATACACCTATCCTAAGTAAATTGCCGGTTTTCATGATTCATCATTCCCACTCTCTATTTCTCTCGCAAAAAAAAATCCATTAACATCATACTAAGAAAGTGAACATTTCTATGAATCATAAATTATGGTTGTTTTTTCATGTTCTATGAAGGATTACTTATGGGGAATATTTTGTTTACATTTAGACTCCTACAAATGAAAGAAGAAATAGTTCATTGAAACTTGTCTATAGTGAGTAGGTTTTAAAGATTTCATAAATTTTAATCTTAGTAGGCAAGCCCTTTTTGCCCAGTTTCTCTCTATGCAAGTCTGGGAAATACACTAGTTACTATTTTACTGTTAGCAAAACTCCCAGATTTCTATATTTAGCCCCCAATTCACATCAAATTTACAAACCCACCACTGTGCTAGACAACTAGATTATATATTTCAGACATTATAAAATCAGTATGTACCAAAGCAAATGCTGCATGTCTTTTTTAACCAACATAACCTCACACTGAGGCACAGCTAGGCACGGCATACATAAAATATCCCCAAAATATTGAATTTATAATTTTCATAGTTAATCTCAATATCTAACCAGAAAAACAGGCAAGAAACTTAGGGTTTGTCCTTGCCTGTTTATTTTCGTAGCACGTACATAGGAGCTTGTTTGCTTATATTGTCTATGCATCTTCCTAAAGAGTACTTTAATGATTTCCCTTTGGTCTGTTTGTTCTGGCATAAAGACTGTTGAAATTACCATCAAAGCTTCCATTTTTGACTATTAATACATGTTTTCTAACACTGTAAATGGGATGATTCTAAAATTTCTATCTTCTCAACTGACTTATCTATTCTACATCAGTGGGGATTTTCATTACTATCGGAATTAACTCCCAATTAAGTTAGGTGAGGTAGGACATCATATCAAAGACTCTACGTCATCTGCACTGATGTTATAGCTGTTAGCTTTCATTCATCTAAACTGGAACTTTTCCCGTCTATACTTTGTTGATGTTGGTGTTAATGCTGGCAATTCCATTCCATGCCATCTATGCATGGTATCGTGCTCACTCACTTGTGACTGTGGGGAGAATGAGGCTCGCTCACTCAATCCACATGTGGATTTTTTTATACCTGTTTCATTAAAAAGCAAGCCTATATAGCATCTCATACTAATTGATCCCAGAAAGTTGTCTGTGGCACACATGAAGATACTATAATTTTTGGCACTACTTCTGAAGTGATTAGGGGAATAATATTATCAGTATTTAAAATAAAATTACTACCCAAAGATAAAAGCTCCTCTCTGTATCTATAATGTTCTCATGGACAGTCATGCACACACTATTTGATAGTTAACTCCATTATGTTGCTGTTGTCGTTCAACAGAACTTTTTACTGCCTTGGCAGTGCCCCTTTATACAAACTCAAGTTTTTTTGTTTTTTGTTTTTTGTTTTTTGGTTCTGGCTAGACATTGCACTAAACCCCTTACCTCCAACCATAAGCTTTCATCTTCTCTATATAGCATGTGAAAAACAGCTAGTTTTCATAGGTCATGTAATACTTTTTAACATAGCACTAAAATTTTCAACTTTTACTTCCCCAAAAGTCAAATATACACATTTCTCCAGTTTGGGTTATATATGGAAAAAATAAATTTACTATTTCCCTTATCAAATAGATAATACACTGCTATAAGCAATATAGACATTCTATATTTTATGGCAGTTATTTTTCTCTGAGTCATATTTTGTAAGTTCTATTCAAAGTCTTTGAGGATGTGAATGACTGTAAAAGCCATGGTATACCTTTTATAGGGAAATCTAATCAAACAAAGTCACAATTCTATACCATGTACATATCCTGAATTACAAGGTAAGACAGATGGAATCAAGGTCCACATCGCTGTTTGATCTCAAAGTACTCCATTCACAGGATAAATTCTATTTCTTTACCTAAAAAATATAAAGTAAATTGGCTGACAGAGTCATCTAAGGTATGAGCTAGCTGCCTTGGGGCAGTCCTACCTAGGGAGAGCATGAAGGACTAGTCATAGATTGAAAAGAAGTAGCAAAGCTGGAGTCAAGGAAGTCCACAGTAGTAGATGTTGACATAATAGAAGTGGATAGGGGAAAATATTCCACACTCAGCTTATCATTAGTAACCAAAATGCCACATTTTGGGGTGTTTAGCAGCCTAATTGTGGCAACAGTCGTGTGGCCTTATAAAATACAAAATTGGGGAGATTCTAAATTTCCATTCAAGATTTACAATTCTATTTATAAATTTTTCTTGAAAGCAGATATACATCATTGACAAAAATAAATAGCAGCCTTAGGTATAGGCCCTTTGTTAAAAGCTTGCATGAATCACAGCCATCTCATAAAATCATAGCACTGTTATTATGATACTAATATAAACACCTTTTAATGTCTGCTGCACTTAATTTGTATAGGTAATTGACAGCTCATTAGAAATAATGAAAGCATAATTATGAAAACAAGTCTAGAAGAAAGGACAAAGCCTCGACTGATGAATTATATATTGCTAAGTGTATATTTTATTTTATATTATGGGCTTGTTATTATGCACATTCATTATATTATTTTCCCTCTAAGACCCTCACTCTAAGAAATCAGAAAGTGAGGTGCAAATGCATACAAAAAAATATTAAACAGTATATGCATAGCCAGGCAGAAAGTCAAAGTCTCAATTGAAATTTACCACCATGTCATCAAGTTCAGGATACAGTAATGCTGTAAAATTTAGTTGGAAATTCAGAATTCCAGCTCAATAATAAAGTGCTTTAAACTTTACCTTAAAGATTAAACACGTCTGTTAACTTTAAAGGTCTACTAACTTCCCCATGAAGTTATAGATCTCTCCTCATGAATTTAAAGATATCTCCATTAACATAATATCTATACCATATATTGGATCAATGTGTCTAATTATGTATTTATTCATTTAATACACAATTATTAAAAGCCTAACTGTGGCTAACAATCCTAAATGAAGTAAAAATAAAAATATAAGATTTATAGATTCAGGAGTGTCTCATTAATATATAAATAACTTTTAAAATGACAGAGACAATTACCCACAAGATACAAAAATGGGCAATATATGAACAAATAGTTCACAGAAGAATAAATGTTTACCATTAAACTTAAAAAAAGGTATGTTGTAGTGTATTTTTCCTCTAATATGAAAAGAATGCAAATTAAAACTACACTGAGAAAAACTTTCACATCTGGTAGTGGTGGAGTAGCTCCTAGTGGTTTTATCATCCCATAAATAACTTCTTACACTCTTAAAACATAAAATGGAAACCAATTACAGACACAGAGGAGTGATAACATTTGGCAGAAACTAGAGGAAACTCTAACCTTAGAAAAGAGGCGCTTCTTTTGATAATGCTTGGACTGAGGGTAGCCTCTATTCGGGTATGAGGGGTACCTAGAACTTGAAGAGAAACTTGAAATCTTTATGGTTTTAAAAACTAGAGGACAGGGTACTAGGCAATGACAACATCTGGAACATGTAGTGAATATTGCAGAAATGAGACAGCTAGACAGAAAAGGCTATGAATTCTGCATACAGTGTCTGCCCAAAGCTTTCACTGATTTTTGAACTACACATGTGTGGGGCAGATTTTTAGCATTCCAGCTAAGGTTAAAACATATATTTCAACTATTGCCCTGTGTAGTAGAGACACTAGAGGTTGAGTTCAGTCGAGTCAACTGACTGCTGGAGAAAGCAAAGCAAAGCAAAATAAAAACAAAATTAATAGTGTTGAGAGGAACGTAACAGAATTTCTAAAATATATTGTTCACAAGGCCCAAGATATGATTTTAAATTATCCAAATTGTTAGATATATGAAAAAGAGGAAAATATGACTCATATATAAGAGACAAGAAAAGATCAACCATGAAATGACAGGTGATAAAATATGCAGATGATGATTTTAAAGCAGCTGTTATAATCATGCTCAAGAATAATAAAAAAGATGCTCATGATGAATAAACAAGTAAAATAAATCTTAGTAAAAAAATAGAAACTATAAAGAACAAAATGGGATTTCTGGAAATGAAAAATACATTTGAATTTAAAAAACATATATGTACATTAATTTCATGCAGTTACCAACATTGAAATTTAAAAATGAATCAGTGAAGTTGAAGATAGATTAATCTATACAAATTATTCAATTGGAAGAATTGTGAGCAAATATATATTATACACATCTCCTTCCTATATATGTATATATACACACACGTACATACAGTGTACATACTGTATATACTATATACAGTATATTATACACTGTATAAATTATACAGTGTATATACTGTATACATATATACAGTATATGTGTATATACATATATACAGTATATGTGTATATACATATATACAGTGTATGTGTATATACATATATACAGTGTATGTGTATATACATATATACAGTGTATGTGTATATACATATATACAGTGTATGTGTATATACATATATACAGTGTATGTGTATATACATATATACAGTGTATGTGTATATACATATATACAGTGTATGTGTATATACATATATACAGTGTATGTGTATTTACATATATACAGTGTATGTGTATATACATATATACAGTGTATGTGTATATACATATATACAGTGTATGTGTATATACATATATACAGTGTATGTGTATATACACATATACATATATACAGCTCATACTTTATATATGTATCTATATACATATATACAGTATATGCTGTATATATGTATCTATATACATACATATATGTATCTATATACACATATACATATATAATTGACACATTTATACATAGTATATATGTAGATATATTTGCATATGTGCATATACACACATACATATATGCATTATATATACATATATACATATATTGTTGATCCATATATGCGTGTATTATAGTAATTATATATACACATGTATATAATGTATACATTGTACATGTTTATGTTTGGGTTAAATACATAGATACATGTTTATATATGGGTTTACATAGATACATGTTTATACAGATACACGTTTATATATGGGTTCATAATGTATATATGTGTGTATATATACATATGCATATATAATTTATGTGTGTGTATATATAAAGAACTAATGCTATATATGTTTACATATATACATATGTATATATGTGTATGCAGAATCCAGAGTCTTTTCTCTCTAGCTTTCTCATTTCTGTATATACACATATACACGTATTGCACATATCTATATGTATGTGTGTATGCATATATTTAATTGGAAGAATTGTGAACAAAAATATACACACACACACATACACACATGTATATGTCAGAGTCTCTGTGATATGTGGAACAGTATCAAAAATAACATACTTATAATTGAAGTTCCAGAAGAAAAGCAAGTAAAAATGGGTCAGAAAGAAATTTTTTTTCCTTTTTTTTTTAAATCATACTTTAAGTTCTGGGGTACGTGAGCAGAACGTGCAGGTTTGTTACATAGATATACACATGCCATGGTGGTTTGCTGCACCCATCAACCTGTCATCTACATTAGGTATTTCTCCTAAGGCTAACCCTCCCCTAACCCTCCACCCCCTGACAGGCCCCAGTGTGTGTTGTTCCCCTCCCTGTGTCCATGTGTTCTCATTGTTCAACTCCCACTTATGAGTGAGAACATGTGGTGTTTGGTTTTCTGTTCTTGTGTTAGTTTGCTGAGAAGGATGGTTTCCAGCTTCATCCATGTGCCTGCAAAGGACATGAACTCATCCGTTTTATGGCTGCATAGTATTCCATGGTGTATATGTGCCACGTTTTCTTTATCCAGCCTATCATTGATGGGCATTTGGGTTGGTTCCAAGTAATGCTCACAAAGTTCCCCCAAGTGGTAGAATACATAAATTTATAGATTAAACAATTTTAGTGAACCCTAAGGAAGGTAAGTCCAAAGCTAGAAGTAACATGTTCATCTTGTTAGAAATCAAAGTTAAATTTTGAAAGGATCCAGAGACTAGTGCAGTGATCCCTACAGGAAAATGGCAATAGAAATGGCTGCCAACATCTCATCAGAAAGAATGCAGGCCAGAAGAGAGTAGAAACACAAATCTAGAATCGCAAAAGAAGATGATCATCTCAACACAAAATATTATGTTCATACGTTTTTTACAATTAAGGAAGAATAAGGCATTTTTCTTTATTCGTCCTTAATTGTAAATAAGCAAATAAAAGGGAATTTTTACCAGCAGACCTGCAGTATGTGAAATGCTATCGGAAGATTTTTAGACTGAAGGGAAACAAGACCAGAGGGAATCTTAGATAAGGAATACAGAGTCCTAGAAATAATAAATGGAGGGTGTAAACATAAAGTGATTTTTTCCTCAATCCTTTAAAATAGATACAGAGTCAGAAGTAAAGAATAACACTGTCACTGTAGATTTATTTTGTATGCCAGTATGACATATACAACTACTTTGTATAAAGGAGAGGGATGGTGGTAAATTAAACTTCATTATCACATGGTTCTTATATTTTATGTATAGTGTTTAAATATTATGTCTGATATTGTATTCTCCAGAATAACCACTTAAAAATGAAAAGAATATAGCAAAAAGAAAACTGACAAATCAAAATGATACTGAAATAATTGAAAGTGCTTTGAAAAGCAAATACAGAAGCCTCCCAAAGATTTAGAAATTTAACATGCTGACAAATGTTAAGGAAGAAATTACAATCAAATTTTAAAAAATATTTCAAATGTATTTACAATAAAAATAAAATATCAGAATATGTGGGATGTGGATAAAGCAGTGCTCAATGAAAAATATAGCTTTTAATTTTGATATTACAAATGAAACAAACTATATAAAGTCAATGACCTAAGATTCTTCGTTAAGCGTCTAGATTAAGATGAGCAAGGTAAACACAAAATAAGTAAAATGAAGAAATTTATAAAGACTGGAGCAGAAATAAATGATACAGAAAGTAAATAATGAAGAAAGAAATAATCTAAATGTCCATCAAAAGATGAATGGAAAAAGAAAATATCATATATACATAGAATCAAATATCATTTAGCCTTATAAAAGAAGGAAATTGTACCAGTTTCAATAGTATGAAGGAATTTAAAGGATATTTTTTCTAAGTTAATAAATTGATTACAAAAAGAGCTAATAATATATGATTCCACTTATATGAGATATCTAAAATAGTCAAATTCATAGAAGCATCAAATAGAATGGTATTAATTAATAACTAAAGAGGGGGAATTGGAGAATTGAAATTCAATGGGTATAAAGTTTCAGTTCTGCAAGATGAGTAAATTCTAGAGATCTGCCATACAACGTAGTGTCTGTAGTTAATATTTCAGTATTGTGCACTTTAAAATATCTTAAAAGAATAGATATCATGGCATGTGTTGTTACAACAAATGCATATAAAAGCGCACACAAACACACTCACACACACACAAAGGACAAAGGACAAAGGACATTTTAGGAGATTATATATATATATATATTTATATATATAAATATATATATATTTATATATATAAATATATATATATATTTATATATATAAATTTATATATATATTTATATATATATATATAAAAAAATAGTGCCTTGGTTGTGGTGATGGTATCACAGGTTTATACATATGTTTAAACTGAAATAAATGTATACATTAAATATGTTCAATCTTTTATATTAATTATACCAAAATAAAACTTTAAAAATGATACAAAATTCTAAAAATTAAGTTATTAGAACTTTCAAATATTAACTTAAAAATATTTTCAAAACTCTTAGATATGAATTAAGGAGAGAATACTTTGTCTCTTGTTTTATGAGGCAGATCTAAGTCTTATACCAAAACTTGACAAGGAAACACACACACACAAACGTACACACATACAAATAAGTTATGGATTGGTATCTTTCATGAATATATATGTAAAAATCTTTAACATTATATTAATAAATAAAATCGTGCAATTTATATTCACTATGGAAGATTTTGAAAAATATCTCATTCAGAAAATTAGCAATTAAAGGGAAAATGTTAAACATATATTCAGCTTTCCTTACATAAACTGCATTTCAGTGAAATAATAATTGATGAGGGTTAGTTTTATATAAAATAAAGATAGATTATTAAAACAGAAGGAATTATAGGCTTAGAAAAATCACCTTATTGCCAGGCAACAAATATCAATGGATGAAATTATTAGATGAAATATTCATTAAATACACATGCACACACACAAACAGAGAGAACTTCTCAGTGGAGTCATCTATCAGTCATCTTCTGAGATTCTGAGGCCATTAATGAAATTTAAGTTAATCAAAAGTGAGATACAAAAAGATTTTGCAACTGATATTTGCATACAGCACAGCATATGAAGTATTCTTGCCAAAAATGTCTAACTTTAGTTAAATCAATAATTTAGTGCTAATTTTATTTTTTACAAGTAAAACAGAACAAAAGACTAAGTTAAGTATCATTTTGAAACAGCAAATAGACCATTATGGAATATGGGATAGTACACGGGACAAAACCTAGGTTTTTCAAAAATTAATTTAATGATTAAAATAAATAAATATATGTATATATATAAATTGAGGAGAAGGATTTACATTTAAAGAGTCAATATTTATTTAAAAAAAATATAATAGGTAAAATCTGTTTGGATCGTAATTATGTTAAATGATACACTTTAGACTATTGAGAAAATTTAAATGTAGCCTAGATATTAGATAAGAACAAATAATTATTCATAAGTTTTTGATGTTTTTTAAGAATACATTCAAAAATTGTTTATATTTGTGTTAAAATATAAATGGGTAACATCATATATTTCTTTCTTTGTAACAAAAGAATATATAAAATAATTAAAATAAGATTGGAGGTTGAAGTGGCAAATATCACAACATCTTGATAATTTCTACTGATGGTTGGCAGTTATGTAGAGGTGAATTAATATACCCCTCTTTACTTTTATGAATGCTTAAAAGTACTCATCATTAACAAACATACCTACACACACATTTCTGGATTTTACAGACTCCACTATAAGCATACTATATCTAAGTTAATTTGATATTGATTTTCACATACTTTAAAAAGTTATCAACTTTAATTTTCTCAACTAACAAAAATTAGGCAAAATTTGTTATAAACATTTTAAAAACTCTATATTGTATATTTTAATTTTTTCTTATTAAACTGGGGGAACTTTTATACAAATTTTTTATTATTTTAGAACTGAAACTGAAAGATAGATGCAATTAGAAAAAAAAGAAACTCCTCTAAGTTTTGTTTTGTTTCTGACTCTTCCAGTATAAGCAAGAGGACGTGGAATATAGCAACCTTCAAAAATGATAGCTTTCATGTGTTAATTGTGAAACTTCTAACAAGAATCAAATGAGATAATGTAATCAAAACGCTTTCCTAGACCATTAATCACACAAGTGAAATTAATTCCAAATTGAAAAGAGAGATGAGTAGAGGGTTTAAAACTCACAATTGAATGTGTATTAATGCACGCAGGTATCTTAACAATCCACTAATAGAATGTCAAAGTCTAACAAAGACCCAAGAAAAGGCCAGATAATGCACTGATCCAGAACTAAATTTTATAAAGTCCTTTATTGGCTTCCTGTTGTTTGATCATTGTGTCTGAACATTTTAAAAGCATGTTGCAGCTTTACAGAACCGTGAGAACCATTTATTAAGTAAACCATTTATTAAGAACCATTTATTAAGTAAAAATAATGCTAGCTACTATAACAAATAAAATCCAAATCTCAGGGACCTATTGTAGCATAACAAAGATCTATTTCTTACAGAGGCAAAATTTGATGCAGTTGTATTTGTTTGGGCAATTCTCCTCCATAGCTTCCTTCCAGGTGGTGAAGTCAGTGAGGATGGCCCCTTCCATCATGTGGTCTTGTATCTCTCTCTTCTGCATCCAGCTGCGTGGAGAGAGTGTGGAGAATCTTGTAAAAACAATTTAGTAACTAGACCTGGGAGCGGCAAACATGTTCCATTACATTTAATGGCCAGAATGGGCCCCACTCAAATACAAGAAAACTAGAAGCTGTGGTCTCTTTGTGTATCTAGGTGGGGAAAAAATGATTTGTAAGCACACAGGAATAATTCTGCCTAATATTTTTACTAAAATCTTCTAGGACGTATTCTGCAATTATACAGCCATTTTATAGTTATATATCTTTTAAGAGATATATCTTTCAAAAATGTCTTATCCCATACCAAATCATATATATTTTTAAAAACCTGTTTTCTGTTTCAAAGCAACATGAGTTTTAGTCTAATTGTGCTCAGAGGCCAGCTATCATGCTTCTTGCACCATTTTGTGAACACTTACAAAAGGACAGCCATGCTGAATAAGACAACATTTGTCAGAACACCGGGTTTTAGGGCTGCTCAGAGATTCCACTTTAATTCTACATTTACCTACTCATTGCTGTCTAATAATAATTGATTCTGTTTCGCTACACTGTGAGGAGTTTGGTTTCAGCCTGAAACCCGAATCACTTTCTATAAGAATTTGTGTAAGATCAGCACAAACATCTTGGAGTTGTTTTTAAGTTAAAGATTTAAAAGCAATATGATTTCTTAGTGCATATGTATCTCCAAACTGCTGAATATCAACTTTTTTTAGAAGTTAAAAACAGTTGAAAAATTGTCTTAAAGCACAGCACTTAATCAAGAGGAAAACTTCTACTACATCTAAACTGGAGAGTTTCTGCTGTTGAAGCCTGGCAGGTTCAGTTTGCTTAGCTACTTTTCACTGTTTATGGCTGTTTTCAGCATTATTTACCACCTTGTAGGCTATCCCACATTCGTGGTGGAATGAAGTTCGGGGACATTGTAGCGCAGCTCTCTCAATACATGAGAAAGGGAAGAGAGTCTGCGAAGTTAGACTGAGCCAGGCTTTGAATAAATATCTTCACAGTTCTAGGTAAGAGCTAATCTAGACGTTGCTGGAAATCCAGATACGAAAACCACATTACCAAAGAAGTGATATGAATGAAAGAATGATGATACAGTCATCTAACAGGCATGCGTTCTGCTATACTCACATTGTGTATCTTGAAATGCTGTGGTTTGCCATGCTCATTTTCATTCATTTGCTTTCGCATATTCCCTTTCTACTCTGTGAGAGCAACCACTGCTTATATTCTGAGTTTTACAGCAGGAATTGGCTTTCCCCCCACTCCCAGGCTATAGTGTAGTGGTGCAATCTCAGCTCACTGCAACCTCTGCCTCCAGGGTTCAAGCAATTCTCATGCCTCAGCTTCCCAAGCAGCTGGGATTACAGGTGTGCACCACCAAGCCCAACTAATATTCTGTATTTTTAATAGAGAACAGGTTTCACCACACTGGCCAGGCTGGTCTTCAACTCCTGACCTCAAGTGATCCTCCCGCCTCGGCCTCCCAAAGTACTGGGATTACAGGTATGAGCCACCTTACCCAGCCTGGTGGCTCTTTTTTTGTATCCAGTGGTAGACCGTCTTGAGCTCCTGCTGTTCTGTAGGTCCTCAAATACTCTGGTGCCCTATGTTTCTCCTCCTCTCTTCCACCCTTCCCCATCCTAGAATAAAGATGCATGCATAAGTTTGTTCCTACATTTTTTCAGTTTTTATTATATCATAAATTTCACCCCAAGACATATTAGAAGGTGGTATCATATTAATTAAGAGCTGAAGATTATAAAGTTTCACTTTTGAATTCTGACTCAAATGCTCATTGATTGATTAGTTATTAGGCTAGTTTGAAAACATCTTAGAGTTCAGTTCCTTAATGTAAAGCAGAACAATAACAGCTAGCTCTTATGTTTACAGAGAGCATTTAATGAGATCATCCATCTAAAGCAAGGTCAACAGATTTAGCAAATAAAACTACAGGATGTCCAGTTAAATTTCAATTTTAGATAAACAACATTTGTTTTTGTTGTTGTTGAAATAGTGCACTAATTTCCTACGTTTGCCATAACAAATTAACACAAACAGGGTGGCTTAAAACAACAGACATCTACTCACTCATAGTTCAGGATTTTACAGGTCCAAAATGAAGATGTCAGCAGGTCTGCTTCCTTCTGAGCCTGTGACGGATAATCTATTTCAGGCCTCCCTCCCGGTTTCTAGTGGCTGCTGGAAGTCCTCGGTGCCCCTTGGCATGCAGACGCTTCACTCCGAATTGCCTCGATGTTCACATCATGTGTGTATGTGTGTGTGTGTGTTCTTCTCCCTTTTTATAAGGACACTCACCACTACATTTAGGGCCCTTTCTAATTCCAAGATGACTCATCTCCAGAACCTTAATTACATCTACAAAACCTTTTTCTAAATAGGTCATTTTCACAGGTGTTAGCACCATGAACATATCTTCTTTCAAGGCCATTACTCAAGTCACTATATATAGGTATCAAATATTGCACAGGATGTATGTAAGCTAAAACTTCTTTTCTGCTTATCTGGAATTCAAGAATTTGAATTCCTGTATTTTATTTGCTAAAGTAAATATAATGTTCTCAACTGGATACCTAAAACTTAGTAATAGCTAAAATGAATGAATAAATAACTGTAGGTGGTTATTAAAAATAAAGAAACTACCATCAGAGTGAACAGGCAACCTACAGAATGGGAGAAAATGTTCGCAATCTACTCGTCTGACAAAGGACTAATATCCAGAATCCACAATGAACTCATACAAATTTACGAGAAAAAAACAAACAACCCCATCAAAAAGTGGGCAAAGGATATGAAAAGACACTTCTCAAAAGAAGACATTTATGCAGCCAAAAGACACATGAAAAAATGCTCATCATCACTGGCCATCAGAGAAATGCAAATCAAAACCACAATGAGATACCATCTCACACCAGTTAGAATGGCAATCATTAAAAAGTCAGGAAACAGGAAACAACAGGTGCTGGAGAGGATGTGGAGAAATAGGAACACTTTTACACAGTTGGTGGGACTGTAAACTAGTTCAACCATTGTGGAAGACAGTGTGGGGATTCCTCAGGGATCTCGAACTAGAAATACCATTTGACCCAGCCATCCCACTACTGGGTATATACCCAAAGGATTATAAATCATGCTGTTTTAAAGACACATGCACACATATGTTTATTGCGGCACTATTCACAATAGCAAAGACTTGGAACCAACCCAAATGTCCAACAACGATAGACTGGATTAAGAAAATATGGCACATATACACCATGGAATACTATGCAGCCATAAAAATGATGAGTTCATGTCCTTTGTAGGGATATGGATGAAGCTGGAAACCATCATTTCCAGCAAACGATTGCAAGGACAAAAAATGAAACACTGCATGTTCTCACTTATAGGTGGAAATTGAACATTGAGAACACATAGACACAGGAAGGGGAACATCACACACTGGGGCCTGTTGTGGGGTAGGGGGAGGGGGGAGGGATAGCATTAGGAGGCATACCTAATGTTAAATGACGAGTTACTGGGTGCAGCACACCAACATGGCACATGTATACATATGTAACTAACCTGCACATTGTGCACATGTACCCTAAAACTTAAAGTATAGTAAAAAAAAATAATTTGTTTTAATAGAAATATAGTATACATAATTACTAACTAAAAATTAATATAGTCCCTGCCACACTTATTTGCAATTTTGATGTTTTAGGAAACAGATTAAACTTAACTTTTGGGTCAATCATCATTAATGTAGTAAACATATTGCATTGCAATGAACTACCCTGCTTTAATATGAAAAGTCTTTGCCTTTGAGTATCTTGTAATTTAGTGAGAAAATATGCAAATGTCTACATTTAAAATACAATTCTGTTTAACAAATCTACTATTCACCACCATCTCAATGTAAGACATTATTGAAACTGATAGGATGATTAATGCAAGGGGACGTGAACAAAAAGTTGGAAATAAGGTAGCAATTATGTCCCTTTACAGAGAATTCCTGTAAATTCAATATTGTTATTGAAAAGGAAATAAAGAAAGAGCATGAGAGAGAAATAGAGAGGGAAAGAGAGAGAGTAAAGGGAAGATCTTAGTTCTCAAGGTATTTTTCATAAACTTTAAACATGTTTCTGTATTCTTTTAGTTTTTCTCTGTGGAAAAGTCTGGAAGGTAACCTGGATATATAATCTACAAGAAAAAGCTCTTACTTAATCACCCATACCACAGCTGCTGGCCTGTTTCTCATGAAGAACCTTAATTTTTATATTATCATCTTTACAATGAACTGAAACTTGTAAGATTCCTCTTTGTATCTTATTGAAATAATACGTAATTTATTATGTTTTTCTTTAATGACAAAATGGTGATGCCTTTCTTGTATTTTTTTCCGCTGCCACCTCTTTATAGACTCATTATTCAGATGCCAAAGTATCACCCATGTTCTCTTGTACAACTGGAGATTTAATTTAAAATATCTCTGTATGGATGTGCATGTTTTATGTCAAAACATTAAAAAGAACAAGCTGCCAGTGGCAGCAGTAGTTTTGTATTTACATTTAAGTCTTTACTCCATTTTTAGTTAATTTTTGTGTATGGTGAGAGACAAGGGTATGGTCTTATTCTTCTGCATGTGAATATTCAATTTTCTTATTACCATTTATTGAAAAGGCTTTCCTTTACTCATTATTTTTACTTGACAACTTTGTCAAAAATCAGTTAGCCCTAGATGTGTGGGTTTATTTCTGTGCCCTCTATTCTGCTCCATTGGTCTGTGTGTTCTTTTTATTCCAATACCATGCTATTTTCGTTACTATAACTTTGTAGTATGTTGTGAAGTTTGGTAGTGTGAGGTCAACAGTTTTGTTCTTCTTGCTCAAGATTGCTGTGGATATCCTAGGTCTTTCATGGTTCCACACAGATTTCAGGTTATATATATTTTTTCTTTTTTTGTAAAGAATGTCATTGGGATTTTGATAGAAATTGCATTGAAGTTATAGGTCACTCTGGGTAGTATGCACATGTTAGAAATATTAATTATTCCATGTATGTACATGGTATGTCTTTGTGTGTGTATGTGTGTTTGTGTGTGTGTGTGTGTGTGTGTTTCTTCAATTTCTTTCATCAATGTTTTATAGTTTTCATCGTAAAGATCTCTCACCTCCTTGGCTAAAGTTCTTCCTGCTACTGTAAAACTGTAAAATGGATGGCTTTCCTGATTTCTTTTCCACATAATTCACGAGTGGCATAATGAAACTACTGATTTTGTATGTTAATTTTGTATCCTGAACTCAACAGAGTTCAGTGTCTAACATTTCAATAATTTGATAGATACTTGATACAAAGAAGGAAAACCTGAGTTGTTACCAAGTATTTTTTGTAATTGAGATTATCCATTTGTCAACATTTCACAGTAGTTTCAATTCAACTGTATGTTTATAAGTATATTTGTAATTTTTGATAAATATCAATTCAACCCCATTGGTAGATTTACTGGAGGCTGTTCATCACAGTCACAATTATTTACTATGCAAGGAATTATCTGCTTGTGCAACACAATTCCAAGTACATAAAAGCCTTGTCGATTTCTTAATTGTGAAAGAACCTTGCTTTTACCATAACAATGTACTCCTCCAAAATTTTTTATATTAGCACCAGAATAGCAACTAATTTCTATCTTCAATTTTAAATAGGCTAAATTTTAGATTACATTTTCAGAGCACTCCTATTAATGTCAGATGTTTTACCCTCAACTTAACAAATTTCCGAAATATTTATTTGATCCTATGAATTGAATGAAAAATATAAATAGAACCACTATTGGGATTAAGAGATGCTATGGTTTGAATGTGTCCCTAAAAGTTAAGGTGTTGTAAAATTAATCCCAGATTAAAGTGTTGTAAGGGGAGACCTTTAAGAGATCATTCAATCATGAAGGAACTGCCCTCAGTAATGGATTAATGACATTATTTTGAGAATAAGTTTCTGATAAAGTAATGAGTTTTGCCCCATTCCTCTTGCTTTCTCTCACAGGCTCTCCTGCAATTCTATTACCTGTTTGAATGTGAAGATGGGATGAAGTAGCAAGAAGGACCTCACAAAATACCTCCCCCACCACCCCATCATCTTGCACTTTCCAGTCTGCAGAACTGTGAGAAAGAAATTTTTAAAATTATTATTATACTTTAAGTTATAGGGTACATGTGCACAATGTGCAGGTTTGTTACATAGGTGTACATGTGCCATGTTGGTTTGCTGCGTCCATCAACTCGTCATTTACATTAGGTATTTCTCCTAATGCTATCCCTCCCCCAGTCCCCCAGCCCCTGATATGCCCCAGTGTGTGATGTTCCCCTCCCTGTGTCCATGTGTTCTCATTCAACTCCCACCTATGAGTGAGAACACACGGTGTTTGGTTTTCTGCCCTTGTGACATTTTGCAGAGGATGATGGTTTCCAGCTTCATCCATGTCCCTGCATAGGACATGAACTCCTTTTTTATGGCTGCATATATTCCACGGTGTATATGTGCCACATTTTCTTAATCCAGTCTATCATTGATGGACATTTGGGTTGGTTCCAAGTCTTTGCTATTGTGAATAATGCCACAATAAACATATATGTGCATGTGTCTTTAGTAGCATGATTTATAATCCTTTGGGTATATACCCAGTAATGGGATCACTGTGTCAAGTGGTATTTCTAGTTCTAGATCCTTGAGGAATTGCCACACTGTCTTCCCCAAATGTTGAACTAATTTACACTCCTACCAACAGTATAAAAGCGTTCCTATTTCTCCATATCCTCTCCAGCATCTGTTGTTGCCTGACTTTTTAATGATCACCATTCTAACTGGCAGGAGATGGTATCTCATTGTGGTTTTGATTTGCATTTCCCTGATGACCAGTGATGATGAGCATTTTTTCATATGTCTGTTGGCTGCATAACTGACTTTTTTTGAGAAGTATCTATTCATATCCTTGATGGGGTTTTTTGATTTTTTTCTTATAAATTTGTTTAAGTTCTTTGTAGATTCTGGAGATTAGCCCTTTGTCAGATGAGCAGGTCACAAAAATTTTCTCCCATTCTGTAGGTTGCCTGTTCGCTCTGATGGTAGTTTCTTTTGCTGTGCAGAAGCTCTTTAGTTTAATTAGACCCATTTGTCTATTTTGGCTTTTTGTTGCCATTGCTTTTGGTGTTTTAGTCATGAAGGCTTTGCCTATGCCTATGTCTTGAATGGTATCGCCTTGGTTTTCTTCTAGGGTTTTTACGGTGTTACATCCTACATTTAAGTCTTTAATCCATCTTGAGTTATTTTTTGTATACCAGGTAAGGAAGGGATCCAGTTTCAGCTTTCTACATATGGCTAGCCAGTTTTCCCAGCACCATTTATTAAATAGTAAATCCTTTCCCCATTTCTTGTTTTTGTCAGGTTTGTCAAAAATCAGATGGTTGTAGATGTGTGATGTTATTTCTGAGGTCTCTCTTCTGTTCCATTGGTCTATATATCTGTTTTGGTACCGGTACCATGCTGTTTTGGTTACTATAGCCTTGTACACTTTGAAGTCAGGTAGCCTGATGCCCCCAGCTTTGTTCTTTTTCCTTAGGATTGTCCTGGCAATGTGGGCTCGTTTTTGGTTCCATATGAACTTTAAAGTAGTTTTTTCCAATTCTGTGAAGAAAGCCAGTGGTAGCTTGATGGGAATAGCATTGAATCTGTACATTACCTTGGGCAGTATGGCATTTTTATTCCTTTTTTCTTGCCTACTTCTCCATTTTGGAATGGGAATGTCTAGCCTATGCTTGTTCCAACACTATTTTGGAAGCACATAACTTGTTAATTTCACAGGCTTACAGCTATAGAGGAACTTGCTTCTGGATGAATCATGCTGTAAGTCTCACCCATCTCTGATAAGACTCTGAAATTTGGACATTTGAGTTGGTGTTGGAAATAGTTAAGACTTTGGGGCTACTGAGATTTAATAAATGTATTTTACATGAGAGAAGGACATGAATTTTGGGGAGCATGAGCAGAATATTATGGCTTGCATGTGCCCCCAAAATTCATGTGTTGGAAACCTAATCTTCAATGGAAAAGTATGAATAAGTGGGACCTTTATAAGGTGATTAGGTTATGAGGGCTCTGCCATCACTGATGGATTAATGCTGTTATTTAGAGCGGGTTCCTGATAAAAAGGATGAGTTTAGCTTCCTTCCTCTTGCTCTCTCTTTCCCTTTTGCAATAAATTATGCAGCAAGAAAGCCCTGACCAGATGCTAGCTCCCTCCCTGTTGAGATTACCGGTCTTCAGAACTGTAAGAAATAGCTCTCTATGTTTTATAAATTATCCAGTATGTGGTATTTTATTATAGCAACACAAAATAGACTAAGAAAACAGATATCATATTTGAGGCATCTAATAACATCAATTAAAAATAATAATTTAACTGTAAACACATGAGCTTTTTTTCTTTCTTTTTATACTGCAGAAGGAAACTTGAAATAAACATAAATAAATTTAAAACAATAGGTGTTTTGTCAACATTGAAAGTGAAGCTTCACAGATTGATGAGCAAAACCAACCAGATGGGTAAAATTTCTATCTTTAGGCAGAGACGTGTTAAAATTACTCTACTGTTTTAGGTAGATGCTGAGGCAGGTTAATGTTTATTGGTTTTTCACATTGTCAGAGACATCACTGGTGGAAGGTGATGTGGTTTGGCTGTGTCCCCACCAAATCTCATCTTGAATTCCCACATGTTGTGAGAGGGACCAGTGGGAGGTAATTGAATGGTGCAGTCAGGTCTTTCTGGTGCTGCTCTCATGATAGTGAATAAGTCTCATGAAATCTGATGGTTTTATAAGGGGAAATTTCCCTACACAAGCTCCCTCTTTTTGCCTACTGCCATCCATGTGAGACATGACTTGCCCCTCCTTGCCTTCTGCCATGATTGTGAAGCCTCCCAAGCCATGTGGAACTGTTATTCCATTAAACATATTTTTGTTCCCAGTCTCAGGTATATCTTTATCAGCAGTGTGAGAATGGAGTAATATAGTATATTGGTACCAGTAAAGTGGGGTGCTGCTGAAAAGATACCTGAAAATGTGGAAGCAATTTGGAACTGGGTAAAAAGCAGAGGTTGGAACAGTTTGGAGAGCTCAGAAGAAGACAGGAAAATATGGGAAAGTTTGGAACTTGCTAGAGACTTGTTGAATGGCTTTGACCAAAATGTTGATAATGATATGGGCAATAAAATCCAGGCTGAGGTGGTCTCAGATGAAGATGAGGAACTTGTTGGAAACTGGAGTAAAGGTGACTCTTGCTATGTTTCAGCAAAGAGACTGGTAGCATTTTACTTCTGCCCTAGAGATTTGTGGAACTTGAGAGAGATGATTTAGGGTATCTGGCAGAATGAATTTCTAAGCAGAAAAGCATTCAAGATGTGACTTGGGTGCTGTTAAAGGCACTCAGTTTTATAAGGGAAGCAGAGCATAAAAGTTCAGAAAATTTGCAGCCTGACAATGTGACAGAAAAGAAAAATCCATTTTCTGAGGGGAAATTCAAGCTGGCTGCAGAAATTTGCATAAGTAGTGAGGAGCCAATGTTAGTTCCCAAGACAATGGGGAAAATGTCTACAGGGCCTATCAGAGGTGATTCTGTAGGCTGGGCTGAGGGTCCCCATGCTGTGTTCAGCCTAGGGACTTGGTGCTCTGCATCCAGCTACTCCAGTTGTGGCCAAAAGGGGCCAACATAGAGCTTGGGCTGTGGCTTCAGAGGGTGCCAGCCTCAAGCTTTGGAAGCTTCCATGTGGTGTTGAGCTTGCCAGTGCACAGAAGTAAAGAATTGGGGTTTGGGAACCTCTGCTTAGATTTCAGAGGATGTATGGAAACACCTGGATGTCCAGGTAGAAGTTTGCTGCAGGGGGAATGCTGTCATGCATAACCTCTGCTATGGCAGTATGAAAGGAAAATGTGGGGTTGGAGCTCCCATACAGAGTCTCTACTGAGGCACTTGGCCTAGTGGGGCTGTGAGAAGAGGCCCACCATCCTCCAGACCCCAGAATGCTATGTCCACTGATACCTTACACCATGTGCCCGGGAAAGCTGCAGATGCTCAACCCCAGCCCGTGAAAGCAGCCAGGAGGGAAGCTGTGCCCTGCAAAGCCACAGGAGTGGAGCTGCCCAAGACCATGGGAAACCACCTCTTGCATCAGTGTGACCTGGATGTGAGACATGGAGTCAAAGGAGATAATTTTACAGCCTTAAGATTTGACTGCCCAGCTGAAATTTGGACTTGTATCGGGCCTGTAACCCCTTTGTTTTGGCCAATTTCTCCCATTTAGAATGGCTGTATTTACCCAATGCCTGTACCCACATTGTACCTAGGAAGTAAGTAACTTGCTTTTGATTTTATAGGCTTATTGGCAGAAGGGACTTGCCTTGTCTCAGATGAGAAGTTGGACTGCGGACATTTGAGTTAATGCTGAAATGAGTTAAGATTTTGGGGAAGGCATAATTCATTTTGAAATGTGAGGTAATGAGATTTGGGGGGGCCCAGGGGAGGAATGATATGATTTGGCTGTGTCCCCACCCAAATCTCATCTTGAGTTCCCATGTGTTGTGGGAGGGATACAGTGGGAGTTAATTGAATCATGGGAGTAGGTCTTTCTCATGCTGTTTTCGTGATAGTAAATAAGTCTCATGAGATCTGACAGTTGTATAAGGGGGAGTTTCCCTGCACAAGCTCCCTCTTTTTGCTCACTGTCATCTATGTAAGATATGATTGCTTCTCCTTGCCTTTTGCCATGATCCTGAGGCCTCCCAAGCCATGTGAAATGGTAAATCTGTTAAACCTAGTTTTGTTTCCAGTCTTGGGTATATCTTTATCAGCAACATAAAATGGACTAATACAGAAGGCAAATATCAACAAATGTGTTGTGCAAATTTTACATGCATCATCAATTTATTTGAGAAATAGAAATGTGGTACTTGATATTTTTACAAAACTTTTATCTCATTGCTGTTGAAAAGATTTAGTTACATTAAAGTATTGCCAAAAATACAACGAATACATAGTTATGCATATAATAAATGGCAAAAACACTATGGCAATATGTTGAGACTATTCTCTATTCCATTGTCAACAAAACTGTCTGTAAAGGGACAGCCGTTTTATTCTTTTTAGGCCATACAATCTCTGTTACAATTACTCAGCCCTGCCACTGTAACAGAACAGTAGCCATAGAATATACAGGTGCTCCTCAACTTACATTGGAGTTTCATCCCAATAAACCCATTATAAGTCAAAAATGCATTTAAGACACCCAAGCTACTGAACGTCACATCTTAGCCCAGCCCACCTTAAATGTGCTCAGAACACTTACAAAGCCCACCATTGGGTAAAATTATCTAACACAAAGCCTATTTTATAATTAAGTGTTGAATTTCTTATGTAATTTATTGAATACTGAATGCGAAAAACAGAATGGTTTTATGGGTACTTGAAGTACAGTTTCTTCTGAATGGGTATCCCTGGTGCACCATTATAAAGCTGAAAAATTGTAACTCAAACCATCATAAGTTGGGGACTAGCTGTATATAAAATAGAAAACATGGTCCTGTTCCAATAAAACTTTATTTACAAACAGAAAAAATGTTTTATGTAATTATTGTGGCAGAAAATATATTTGTTTCAAGCTAGTTAGAAATGTAAATGCCATTTGAACTTTGCATTTTTGTCTTATTTTGTTCAGGCTGCTACAACAGCATATCTTAGGCTGGTAGCTAAGAAATTTATTTCTCATGGTTCTGGAGGCTATGAATTCCAATGAGAAGATGCCAGCACACGTGGTATTTGGTAAGGGCCTGCGTCCTGGTTCATAGATGGCCATCTATGTCCTCTGGACACTAACCCATTTCTGAGGGCTCTGACCTCATGACTTAATCACCTCACAAAGGCCCGACCTCCAAGTACCATTATAGTGAGGATTAAGTTTCAATATATGAATTTGGAGAGACATAAATATTTAGTCTATAGCATAGGTAGTACCAAAATATTTAGCAGGACAGATTTGGCCAATGGGTGGCAATTTGCTGACCCTTTCTCTATACTCTCTGTGGAACATACTTTTATGTTCCCAGCTGTAATGTTTAAGTATATCAGAATGGATAGTCACCATAGTTGGAGGCCAAAGTTGATAGCATTGCACAAGAAGAATTAGTGAGCCAGGAAAAAGTTTGGAATCCTAAAATAATAAACTATGCAGAGTGTCAGAGAAGTGACCCTTAAGGATCCAGCAGTTTGGGGTTATCAGAAAGCCATAAAAGGGTATCAACATAAACCATGACATTCCTGTGATGAGCAGGGGCAGGAAAGAGGTTTCTACCAACAGATTTGCAGGTAGGGGATGTGGACAAGCAGGAGTTGAAGCAGGTGAGAGAGAATTGAGCCATTTGGGCTATGCCTGCTGGCTGCTGCTGCTAAGAAAACATTTTATTTGACTTTGTCTTTTCTCTCAAAAATACCAAGGGGATTTCCCTCTCAGATATAGTTGCTCTCTGGCCAGGGCACATACACAGACAGATATTTATTTCTCTGGAAGTTTTCCTAGCTCACTTCATTGGCTTTGTTACTTATTTTTCTGACCTACTTCTGCACTATATAATTATATAGCAGGTCTTACAGGTTATCATACTCATTTACTGCATGTCAGTCTCCCGCAATGAGACTGAGCTTCTTAAAGCTATGGGCAGTTCTTTCTTTACCTTTGTAACTGCAGGACCTAAGACAATGCTTGAAACTGAGTTACAAACTCCTTAAGTATGTGTTGTGCAAAACCTAATTATAGCATAGATATGATTTTGCATTCTGCCTTTGTCACTCAATATTTTATTATAAGCATTTCATTTTGTTTTATAGTCTTCGTAATTATCATTTTAATGGCTGCATAAAGGTCCATCAAGTTCGTGTGTCATAATTTTCTGTACTATTTCCGCGTTGTATTTTGAAGTTATCTTCACAGTTTTACTATTAGTTAAGTATTTAATTAGATATTCTTTATCATTTTAAAGTTTGGAAGGCTTGAAGGCTTGATTTGGATTACCCATTTCTTTCGAAAAATATTTATAAGAGAATGACTACTTTTCCTCAAACACATACTTTGTTAATGAAAGTCGTATTTAATATAACAAGAATGTACATATGAACAAAGAATATGAAATATATACACATAAACATACATTGACATGTAATTATATAAAGTATAAATCCTAGATATTAATATTTAAGTATGTACATTAACATAAGATATGTTTAGCATGTCTTTCGGGGGGAAAAAGACCTTATATTTAAGTGGAAAAAGTCTGAAGCAAGATTTCAGTCCGCTAGAACTCCGTTACTAAGAAAAACCTAGTGCCAGAGATAGAAAATACTCAGTAAAATTTGGTACATAGGTGCCAATAATTATAACCTGGAAATTAAGAGGCCAGATAAGGGATATATAGTTTATTCATTCTTCTTTAATTGATTTAATCCAAATATGATTCACTAGAAGTTTAAATTATTTATGTGTAATTATTAATCAAACTTCAAAAAGCATTACCAGTAATTTACTTTTTAAACAATGTTATTGAGGTATATAAAACATGCAAGAAACCACAGAAGTTGTATTGAAAGGGTACCATTGGGTAGGCTCTGTTATGTGTATGCACACATGAAGCCATGGGCACAATCAAGATTGTGTACAATGGCATCATCCCCAAATTTTCTTGTGTCTCTTTCTGCTCCCTCACTGCAACCACTCCTTGCATCCCCTGGTAACCAGACAACCACCTATCTGCTCTTGGTCAACAGAGATTAGATTGCTTTTTCTAGTTTTATATAAAATGAGTTATACAGTATGTAGTGTATTTTATCTGACTTACTATATGCCAACAATTATGGCAAAAGTGTGTGATATGGTTAGGCTGTGTCCCCACCCAAATCCCATCTTGAATTGTAGCTCCCATAATCCCCACATGTCATTGGAGGGATCCAGTGGGAGGTAATTGAATCATGGCGGCGTGTTTTTCCCATGCTGTTCTCCTGATAGTAAATAAATCTCAGGAGATCTGACGGTTTTATAAAGGGCAGGTCCCCTGCACATGCTCTCTTTCCTGACACCATGTAAGATGTGCTTTTGCTCCTCCTTCACCTTCTGCCATAACTGTAAGACCTTCCAGCCATGTGGAGCTGTGAGTCCATTAAACCCCCTTTTGTTAATAAATTGCCCAGTCTCAGGTATGTCTTCTTTAGCAGCAAGAGAACAGACTAATACAGTTTGACACTGATTTTTATGAGTGTCAAATTCTTTTGATGGCACAAGACAAGAGATAGGTTCAACATTCTTACCTGAATTCTCATTCTGTTTTGTGGACTTTTTACACTCACACACTGTGGAACTGGCCCCTGAGAAAAAGAAAATGATCTGACTCCTCTCTTGTTTAACACAGTACTTATCCCAAAACCTTGCACTAGTCCTGCAAGGCATATTTGTGTTGATATAAATCAAATTAATATGGACTAAATTTAGAGCACCAGATAGAGTTCTACTCAATGACTCATGAATTCCCTTTTTAAGAAATGTCTGACTAAAGAATAGTCAGTCACATTGATTGATCTTGATTGCCTACAAGCCTGAAAATGAACTGTTTTGAGTTGGACCCACAAAGTATGTGGCAACACTTACTGATCTTTTCTTATTAGAAAAATTTAAAAATATATATTTAAAAATAGGACTTTGAGACCCTATGTGTGCATATCCACATTTCAGAATATTTGCATAAAGAAAATCAACCTGTACAGTGTTGTTATAGCACAATCAGATTCTTGTTCAGTGCACGGTAACCAATCAGTGCATCAAAACAGCAGGAACTGTAGCAGATAAAGAGTTTAATAATCAAACAGTAGCCAAAGAAAAGATGAGAGGGAACCTCAAATCTACCCCTCCTGGAAGTTTTGGACTGGGGTTTTTAAGGGAATCTTGGTGGGTAGAGAGCTGAGGAGCTAGGGTTGCTGATTGTTTGCAAAGTGAAAGGTTGAGTCATGGGATAGGGAGATGAAGAAACCACATTCCTATACCGAGTGGCATCCTTAGAGGGGTCTTCAGGCTGGCTGGCATCAATGGACTTGTTGGAATGCAGGATCTGCAAAATATCTCAAATGAAAAATTTGAGGTTTATTAATGGTAAGGATGTTATCTACAGAAGTTAGGATCTTGTGATGGGGGTAGGTGACTTCTAAGTGCTAGCTTTAAGGAAGTGGCTCTAGGGCAAGCTGGTTCAGGCTTTGCTCTGCTTCTACTCCAAGCTTCTGTTTTTGTTAAGAATCTAGCAATTAAGTTGTATTAATTTTATTAGGACAGTTTCAGTGTCAAATTACAAGGGTTCAAGGCATAGTTCTAACATTTCCTACAGTGTGATGTCACTAGAGTTTTTTTTTTCTTGTTTTTTTGGAATTCCAATTACCTCTTGTGGTACATATAGATAATAGAAACCAATTCAAAGGGTTATTTTTGTAAGGGTAAAGTAAAAATGGATAATATGTAAAAATATCAAGTGGAATTCTCTGTGCATTGTCTTTCATGAATAGTTGTGAATCTAATTAATTGAGAAATTAGCTGGAATCTGGACACATATTTGAAAACACCATTAGGAGACAGGGAAGCCAGACATAATATCAGCTAGCATTTGAAGCGTGATTCAGTAAGCCTCTCTCATTCAATGATTTTGACCTGTCTTTGGTCAAAATTATATCATTGGTCAGTGTTTATCATTATGAACCTGAAGACTAGAAGGCTTCCATTTAAGCCAGGGTTAATTAATGACTATGTATTCAGCCTTGGGCAAGCCATTCAGTCTCTCTCAATCTCAATGGACTTATTTATAAAATGGTAATAACTGTACCTATTTGTCTTATCTCATAGGGTTATTTTGAGAAATAAATAGGATAATGTATGTGAAAGCCCTTTGCAAATGACCACATATACTGGTAGAAAATTGTCAGAGTGTGACTATTTATTGAGCCCTAGAGCAACCATCTGGGTGATTGGCTTTATTCACACCCACCCTTTCTGAGACTGCTACCTTTTGTTCCATTGAGAAGGGATTCACAGCATTTGATTGACCAGATCTATTACACTCCTAAGGGTCATACTGACACGTCTCTTAACCTGAGGTTAGGCTGGAAACTGACATGAATGGAAAGACTCTGGTTACTGAATGAGATGCCCATGGCAGCTCCAAGTCTTCTCACCATCAAGAAGGCTGTCAGCTCCAAATGACAGCTGATGGTGCTACAGCCCCGGTGCTGCAGCTGTCCTTGAGCAGAGAGCCTTTTGTTCTTATTATGCAGCTGTCAAGGTGGTGGCAGGCAGCATCATCTAATGACACAAACCGGTGTCAGAACTTCCCAAAAAGATTTGTAGGTTTCTCAATGACAATTTCATCTCATTACAAATGCCACAGGCCTCAGTGAGTCCTCTTTCAATGTGTCACACTCTTAAAGTCATTTTGTGATGATCTTCCCTGCCACGGCTTCTTCTGAAGGAAGGCTTGTAGTCTATCGGAACAGGGATGAGTCCCTGTCCTATTCCAAGAACAAATTGATCAAATATGATGACTGGAAGGAAAGTCCTGCACTTTGCTTTCTGGTGACATAAGACATAGTACACCCAGAGAGTTCTACAAATGTAAAATAATGAAAAAAGGTAATAATTACTATCAAAGAGATGTTTGTAAAATATGATAGAATTTCAGTGGTAGAAAGGAATTTATTTATACTATTATTTAATAAATAATTTGATTTTTGACAAATATTTGTCGGTGACTCTCAAGGCGGACATGCAGCTCTCTGTCTGTCTTGGTGTATAACGAACAGGCTGGAAATGATGCTGGCTCCCTTGATACTAGTGTCCCCCATGAGAAGGCACACATAAATTTTAAAAATGCATGTTTGAATATAAATAATGGGTGAATAATTTTTTGAGGGTGTCATGGTCCTCTCAAACCAAGTTTATAATAGAATGCATAAGAAATGTCTCTATGTAAATTAAACCTCTAATTTTGGCTAAATAGAGATTTATGGTCTAATTCTAGAAGCAGAATCTAGAGCTATGATTCTTTTAAGTTTCTCGCTCTTATAACCATGAAATCAATAGTTTTGTTTTGCTATAAGAGCATAAGAAGCAGCACACTGTATTCGAGAGTTCCAGAGTTTTTTTGATTATTGTGAATTCCAAAAAATGACCAAAAATAATCAAAGATTCTAAGATATTATTTGGCCTCTAGAAGGAGCCTGGGGCAGAGAGATCCAAGGCTGAGCACAGCTGGGATTTAGAGTGACTGGCATATGTGTAGGTGGAAAGGGTAGCAGGGATTGGCAGTAATGGTATCAGGCCCTTACACATCCTCACATACTTGGCTTTAGGATCTGGTCAAATACATCTACCTCTTAACATGCCCAGACTCCCCTTCACTCTTCAAATGACTGAAGTGTTTTCTGAATTCACAGGTGGAATCAAGATACTAACTGTGGTGGGACAATCAATTTGGGCAACTCCTGTTGTAGTCTTCCTTCTGGAAAGAAAGGGCAGCAATTTAAGGCCAGATGTTGCTTAGAGATATCCAGGAATAGAAAGCTGCATGTAGCAACTCAAGCAGAATCATCAGGACTCAATTTCTTTCTCTAGTCATCTCTTGGTTTGATTTCTTCTGGTGTGGCTTTATGTTGAAGAAGATGCTTGGAATATACTTCAAAGATAAATCTGGTTAAAAAATAAAATAAAGGAGGAGAAAGAGAGAGGGAGGAGTGGGGGAGACAGGTAGACAGAGAGCTAGAGAGAGAGAGAGAGTCAGAATACTAGGTAACCTGGATACAAGAAACAGAATCAATGCCATTAATACCACTGAAAAGATGTTATATGGCCAGAATAAAATCATGCATACCAAACTCAGTGGTATTGTTAGCGTCAGCATATCATAGATGCTCAGTTAATATTGGTAGCTGAATCTAAATTTAATGAATGCCTGTTCGGCTATCAAAATACCTTTCTTCCTCATCCAGTATCATTTACATTGCAAATATAATAAGAAAAGCTATGTAAGAAAAAAAGTAACAAGAGACAACCACCGGACCTCCAGAGTCAGCTAAGAGAGAAAGCCTTGTGAAATACAGCCAGTGTAGCTTCTAGCTCCCTGTTCTACTAACATACATTAGAATTACTGTAGCTCATTTTTATCTGTATATGTTCTAGATATTTTATGCTGAAAGCATTTAAGTGGAGTAGAATAACAATTATCAACTTTGTCATCATATATTCCTGATTTTAATTCTTGGTCACTACCTATTTATTGTCTTCACAAATGTTAACAAATTGCTAACTCCTCTGAACAGATAAAATGAGGCCAATACTGTGTACTTCATCAGGTCATTGAGAAGTCCAATTTTGAGAATATTAGTACAGTGACTAGCATGCAGTCCTTTCTACATAAATGGATGTCATATAAATATAAATGACAAGAGGGTGTGAAACCTGTCTGTCTACTTTTCTCACTTAATTATCAATGAATTTTCATGCAGCTTAAGGATTTTTAATTGTCTATAACTTCTTTAACATTTGCCAAACAATTTGTTTATAATGCTATTAAAAAAAAACTTGGATTCCATGAATTGTAATACAATTCAGAAAGCTACAGCATAAAGCCGATAAAAATGTTTTCATTGATGGGGCTTAAATGTTTATTTTAATGAAGAGACACATTAAGGTGAGTCGATTCCTGATTCCTGTCTTTGTGCTTGTTGTTATCTACTTATTCTTCAATTCCAATAAATTTGGTTCATCAAATATTCAGAGGCTTCTGAGTATAGTGGTCATGAGAAATGGTGAATTTCTGAAATTAGCCTTCCCCCAGCATTGCTACTTAATATCTCTGTAATCTTTGGCAATTTGAACATGCAACTCTTATAAGTAAATTTCCCCTGTCCTTCCCACCCCGCCAGCTTAAGTTAGACCCCATATCTCTGTACTCTTTCTTTTCTCCCCTATGAATAACTTTACAGTAATATTGTGGTATTTTCTTTCCATCTTACTAGTAGACAGCAAATTCCTTAAGGGGATTAGTTACATCTGGATTGGCATAGAGCAGGTACTTGGTGAATAATAATTGAATGAATGAGCATGTCTTACACTAAAAATAGTAATGTGCATAGCAGTTCCTGTAGGTAGAGCAGTATTGTTATAGAGGTAACAATGATACAAAAGTAACAAACAATTAATTAAAATTAATGCTAAACTCTTAAGATTGGCTAGGCACTATTTCAAGGGCTTTATATTCATTCTATTATTTTCTCATTGCAAGAGACTATGAGGTATTTGCTACATTTTCCCACTTGCGTAGATAAGAAATCTGATGCAAAGGAAACTTAACAACCCTCTCGGGATCACATAGTTAATGAATGTCGAAATGAGGATCAAAATATAAGTAACATCAGTTTTCTGAGGATCCTAAAATTTCAAAGGGTCTAGTTAGTGTTAGGTGTGTGTATTTAAATTTCTTGGCTTCAATTTTCTCCTATGGAGAGGTTGGACTCCGTCATCTCCAAGATACTGTCCAATGGTCATTCTTATGATTCTGTCCTTTCTTTCTTATTGGTGACTCTGTTGTCCTTCTTGGCCACCTCAGCCCATCTCCTGTCTTCTCCTTTAATGGGATCACACTTGCCATGGGGTCTTTGATCCCAAGGGCTCAGACTCCCCTGATAGTGTGTCTGTGCTGCTGTTTAACTTTCTCCCACACATTGTTCATTCTCTCTCTAGAGGGGAAATCAACTGTAGTCAGGGGAGTAATTAGCTTGCTGATTACTGCTGATCTATTAATTGGGAAGTGCTGTAGGCCCTATTTAGAGTGATCTGACTAATACAATCACAGTATCTTTAATCAAGGATTCAGTGATGTTTCTAGCTAGTGAAAATGGGATATATTTTACTGGTGAAAATTTCCTCCTCCTTCACCATGATGTTTAGTGAATGCAGCACCACATTCAAACTGCTATGCCCTAAGCCTATCATTGCTTGTATGTTCACTTAATTGTGTCTGTCACTAGACTATTAGTGTTATAAGGGCAGGTACTTGGTGGGTTTTATCCGTGAGTCTCTAGAATCTGTCTCATTGCCTCACACAGGATAGGAACTCAATAAATGTAGGTAGACTGCTCTAAGCTTCAGTGTTTGTCCTTTGTACAAAGAGGATATTAATAGATATTTTGTTGGGTTATCAGGCATTATCTCAAAGAGTGTATATAATGATAGTGGTTGTTGTCAATATATAAGAAGAAGATAGTAAAGAGTAAGTGCCCTTCATTATGATTAAGCTGTGGGAATAAATTCTTATGGTTGTGAATGACTAAAAATAAATTAAAAAGAAGTGAATGAATGGATTGTTGAATAAATGACAGAATAATTTAACTCAGAGGTAACCTATAAGTCCGATTTATTTGATTACTACACATATTAACTATAGCCCAGTATGTCTTCTTTCTTAATGAAACTCACCACATACTCTCATTTGGTTCTGATGTCACTAGCAAATCACGATTCTGCCTTGACAGAACATTGTAGCTTTTCCCCCCTTCATGGTGGTTACTAACATTTCTAGATAAAAAGAAATATCTTGGGGATACTATCATATGTAGTCATTTGTTAAGTTGTTTTACATTTCTTTATGAATAGAGAAGAAACCAGTATGCTGGGTACTGTTAATTGGTTGCTTTAACCTTCATTTCAACCTCCTAGTTGGAGAAGCTAAAAGGTTAAAAATGGCATTTCACAAACTACCTTTAACCAGGGTTCTGGATATAAAATAAAGTTCTATGAACTGAATACACGTGCATGACACCTGGATACCAGATATAAAACAAAGAACAAAAAGGCAAGATTGTCTTTTTGACTCCTGAGTAGAAAGTACGGGCATGAGTCCAGTAATTGTGTCTAAAGTAGGACTCACCGATGGGTGCCTTCTGCATTGACATGGGAATCATTCCTAGACACTAAGACACTACTGCTTTAGGCCTGCTTTCCTTTATTAAATCACTCCCTGTTTAAAAAGACCTGGAGTGATTTTTTTAATTTCACGGAATCCTAACCAAAAAGTAAAGTGTAATATTGAACATGAGTGAAAAAACACCTGCTAGGCTGGGCGTGGTGGTTCATGCCTGTAATTCCAGCACTTAGGGAAGCCAAGGTGGGCAGGTCACTTGACGTTAGAAGTTCGAGGCCAGCCTGGCCAACATGGTGAAAACCGATCTCTACTAAAAATACAAAAAAACTGGCTGCGTATGGTGGCTCGTGCCTGTAGTCCCAGCCACCTGGGAGAATTGCTTGAACCTGGGAGGTGGAGGTTGCAGTGAGCTGAGATCGCACCACTGCACTCCAGCCTGGTAACAGAGCAAGACTGTGTCTTAAAACAACAACAACCAACCAAACAAAAAACATGCTGAACCTGGAGGTAGTGGGTCCAACTGCATTTTCACCCCTTCACTAGCATCCCATCAGTCCCCAGAACACCCCTCTGTATACAAGAGCTGCTCATAGCTTCTTTTAAAACATTCCCAATGTGTAGAATATATGGATGATACATACTCTCATAGACCTAGAACATTTATACCTGGATACAAGCATCTTTTCTTTCAAGGCTTGTTAGGCCAAGGCATTCCCATGCTTGCTCTAGAAGAGTCTTCACCCATTAAAGAGTTCACACATACAAGGATCATAAGATCCACAAGCAATATCTCTCTATGGGCATCAAAATGGTAATTCAGATGGCTGCACATTCTTTCATCTAGTTGAAAAGCCAGCACTTACTTAAACATACCCTTATTTTTTCATTTTGATATTTAATAATATAGTCAGAAAAACAATCAATGTTTTCAGTATATTGTCATCTTCACTCTTAAGTTTTTTTCCTTTGTGATATATTTCTATAAAAGTTGCTCAGGTTAAAACATGACTTGTAATTGATTTAAAAAATGAAATCACTTTTCTTACTCTCTGTTCTCTAACTTAACAATGACCCTGTGGTGAAGAGAGAAATACATTAATTTCTAAATTACATGATTCTATTGCAAATCTTCTCCACAATCCTCTTCTCTCCTCATTGTAGCCTTGTTCCCTGGCAACAAATCCCAGAGTAGGGGATGGTGGAAGAAAAAGCACCTTTATTTTCCCCCAAGAAATAACAGTTGAATTCAGTGAAGGTAAGATCTCTAGCTATCAGGAGAATGCCTTGTAAATTTTTAATTCATTCTTTCATCATAAATTGTTATCAAAAATTAATGACTATCTATTTTCCATTCTTTCAATATAGTTACCATTTTTCTCTAAATTTCTATATGAAAATTGTCTATTTTTTGTCTTTCTTATAAAATTAGATTTTGAAAAATCTTGATAGAACAAACTCTCTGCCTATAGAACTGCTGCTTAGACCAAATTGGTTGGTCAGGTCGTGGAAGCAGGATGTGGGCCAGGGCAGTGGGTGGTTGGTATGGACAATCACTGTTTTAATTTGAGGCGTCAAACATGAATACATACATAGGTTACAAAATTTGCCCAGTGTTGTACAAATACCTATTTAAAGAATCATGGATCCTCAGCCCTTGATGTTTCCACCATGACATTCTTTAGAGAAGGCAAATATAAACACACACATGCACACACACACACGCACGCACATAAACACACACACACACAGAGAACCCAAGTTATTTATTTTTAAAAAATTAAGTTTCCCAAAGGCTATATCCAAACACAGTATTACGTTTTTAACATCAGTCCAGGAAGCCTGTAGTCATAACATGGATTTGGGGCAGAAAGAAAGGGGGTGGGGGGGCATACTGGGTATTTGGTTAAGCTTGTTTAAGAACTTATTTTCAAACTTCTCATATATTTACAAGATAATCTTAAAAGCCCACCTTAAAAATATCAAAGAGGTACCCCTTCTGCAGAATGTGCTAGAGAGTAACCACTTTTGTAGCAAACTTTCTCTTAGCAAAATACAGTTTATGACTGAATATGTGGAATTTATATGTTCACAGGCTGTTTTTCCTTTCCCAAAATAACACCAGAAGCAACTATTCTGAAGATCCTTTTAACAGGCAATGAATATGCTTCATGAAGGCACTTTGATCCCCAGAGAGTCCTGTCTGAGTTGAATTTCTTGGAACACAAAGGCACGGATTCTGCCCTCAAGTCGGTCAGGATGCATGAAGAAAGCACGGATGACATGGCACTGTGGTGACTGTGACAGACACAAAATACCAAGAAACTGAGTGTGGAGACACCACCCAGAGAGAGGACAAACTCTGTCCTGGTGGGGCAGAACCAGGTTCTCAGGAGCATTGACATCTGAGTTTGTACTTTGTTTGAAGATGGAGAGAAGTTAGTTGTCTGATTGGAGGGTGTGGAAAAAGGGTTTGCCTGGATGAGGGTGACATATGTGGAAAGGTGAGCAGTGATGAGCTCTTGCAGATTCTTAGGGGCAAGTGAAGAAAAGTCTAGTTCGAATGGGAGCAGAGTCAGTGCTGGTGAGGGGCTTTTTAATGTTTTTATTATATGGTTGTTTTCTATACATCTTTTATTTCCATTTATTTGAGATTTTAGCTACTTAAAAAGCCTCTTCCTAATTTCAATAGATTTTCTAATCTTTCTGGTGATGTAGCTTTGGTATTTGATAGCCCAGACATAATCAGAAATGTATTTGGTTCTGAGCACTGTTGATTTTAAACTCCAATTTGCATTTTTATTTAATTATATTTGATGGCTATGCCTTCCTTTTTATATTGCTGCATTGCTATCCAAGCCAATACTCACCCCTTTCCTGAATACCTTGGAATCCAAGTGTAACCTCTAACAGAAATAAAGAACTTTGGACAAAGCAATTTCAATGCTCCACTCCAGGAAGGAGGATGGAGGGGAGGCGGGGAAAAATCTGGAAGAGAGACTTGAAATATTATTTACTCAGACCTAGGAATTTCAGAGTTTGAAAGCAAAAGCCGGCAAGCACTTAAAGACTGCCTTTGTTAAAAAGAGAAGCTCTAGGGGAAACGATTCCATTCTGAGTATCTTATAATCTCATTTTAAGAGAGTGACACTTGCAAGTTCTCTTTGGCACTAATTGCCTTTTTCCGATCAAGCTCTCCCGTCTCTAACCCTGACAGTCTGTCTCCGGTCAAGTTTATATCTATATCTGTATTCTACAGCTCTGACGAAAAGCTTGTCTGTGCTCAGTGGTTAAGTTTTCCTCTGAGAGGAGTGACTATCTCACCACAGCATCTGCATTTTGAATCATTATTTCTTCAGAAAGATGTATCTCTGATTGCTGGATTTTGGATTGCACTCATGGGAGATTCCGTGCCTTCTCTTTTGAAAGATTTAATAGTATTTTGTGCGAGAAGAAAAGTAAATAGGAAACTGTTATGAAAATGGTAAGAGGCAATGCATGGTATGAGCTGGCATAAAATGTGAATTTGTAAGCAATCTGATAAATATGAGTTTTCACTTCTGCCCCCAATCAGTCAGAAAGTCATGGGTTTGAATCTGAACTTGATTTTTAATTAGGCAAATTAGCCTTCTTGTTTTTATGCCCTGTTCTTCTTTCCCTCTTCCCATTTTTAATTTTAGATAATGTGACTCTTTTGTCCACTGGGCTGTGCGTATTTCAGAAGATGGATAGTGCCCTAATGATTTTGTATCCTGTCACCCAGCTCAATGCTTATCCAAGTGTGTCCATGTGATATATGTTTCATAAATGAACAAATCTATTCTATCATGTTCCTCCCATTCACTTTCTAATACGTGAGAAAGATTGATCCAATTCCTCAATATTATTGAGTGATGTCTTCTCCCCCCATCTCCATTCCACCACTCTCAGGAAATACTGCTTTGTGCATGCATTCGCAGATCTTCAAAAAGAGAACAGTTCTACATTATACCCAATATTGCTAATCATCTGTATGGGTAGATAAATGTGGCATCCGTATTTGAATTAGTAAAACAAGTTATGAGTAGGGAAGTTTGTTTGTTCTTTTGAATTTGAAACAACAGCACAATTTGTAGTTAGTCCTTAATACAGGTATGGGGTGTCAATTATTTCAATTATTTTAATTTTCAGCACTTTGGCGTTTGGTCCCCACAATGACATAACTTTCATTAGCATGGAAAGTGGATAATTTGCTTACACTTCATGGTGTTTATTGTCAACTTTAATTTTTATTTCCAGCATGGTTCTCAATACTTCATCTTAATTGCTACTGATGAAGCAAATGACAGAGAGGCTAACTTGACTTTGTGTCACCAACAGGCTCTGTCAGAATTGTAAAGCCCACTGACATGGTTAGAGAGATCGTTGAGGCAGGAAATTAATGAAGATATTCAGGACCTAAATTCAACACTTGACTAAATGGACCTAACAGAAATCTACAGAATATTCCACCCATTAATAACAAATACATATATATTATTCTCATCAGCACATGGCACATACTCTAGGATCAATCACTTGCTTGGCCATAAGAAAATTCTCAACAAACTTCAAGAAATGAAATTACACCAATCACACTCTTGGACCACAGTGCAATAAACTAGAAATGAATACCAAGAAGATCTCTCAAAACCATACAATTACGTGAATGTTAAACAACCTGCTCTTGAATGACTTTTGGGTAAAGAATGAAATAAAGGCAGATATCAAAAAAATTTTTGAAACTAATAAGAACAAAGATAAAATATACCAGAATCTCTGGAACACAGCTAAAAGAATGTTAAACGGGAAGTTTATAGTGCTAAACACCTGCATTGAGAAGACAGAAAGATCTACAATTAAAAATCTAACATCACACCTAGAGGAACTAGAATAACAAGAGCAAACCAACCCCAAAGCTATCAGAAGACAGGAAATAAGCAAAATCAGACCTGAACTGAATGAAATTGACAGGCAAAAAAATACATACAAAAGATCTATAAAACCAAAAGTTGGTAAAAAAATAAATAAGATTGATAAACTGCTAGCTAAATTAAGAAGAGTAAGAAAAAAGAAAGACTATCCAAATAAACACAACTAGAGATGACAAAGGTGACATTATGACCAATCCCACAGAAATACAAAATATTAATAATACCTTCAGAGACTATAATAAACACCTCCATGCACACAAACTAGAAAACATGAAAGAAATGGATACATTCCTGGAAACATATAGCCAGCCACTCAAGATTAAAGCAGGAAAAACTTGAAAGCTTTAAACATGTACCCACTTAAGATTAAAACAGGAAAAAACTGAACAAACAAATGAGTTTGAAAATTGAATCAGTAATAAAAAAAACTTATCAACCAGAAAAAGCCTTGTATCAGATGGATTCACAGCTGAATTTTAACACATGTATAAAGAAGAGCAGATTCCAATCCTACCAAAATTATACCAAAAAATGTAGGAAGAGGGACTCCTCCCTAACTCATAATATGAGGCCAGCATCATTCTGATACCAAAACCTGTGAGAGACAAAATGAAAAAAAAAAAAAAAAGAAAATTTCAGGTAAATATCCCTGGTGAACATAGACACAAAAATTCTCAAAAAAAAAAAAAAAAAAAAATAGCAAATTCAATCCAGCAGCACATCGAAAGGTTAATCCACCACAATGAAGTAGGCTTTATTCCTGCAATGGAAGTTTGGTCCAACATATGCAAATCAATAAATGTGACTCATCACATAAACAGAACTAAAAGACAAAAAAAAAATAGATGCATAAGCGACTTTTGATAAAATTCAATATTCTTTTATGTAAAAGACCTTAAAAAACTAGGAATCAAAGGAACATACCTCAAAATTAGAAGAGTCACCTATGAAAAACCCATTGCCAACATTAGGTAGTTTAACTTAGAAGAGTCATCTATGAAAAATCCGCTGCAATTCCAGTGAAAACAAAACAGATAAGTGGGACCTAATAAAAATAAGGAGCTTCTGCACAGCAAGAGACTATCAACAGGGTAAACAGACAACCTACAGAATGGCAGAAAATATTTGCAAAGTATGCACCTGACAAAAGTCTAATATTCAGAATCTGTAAGGAACTTAAACAAATCAACAAGCAAAAAATAAATAACCCCATGTGCAAAGGACAGGAACAGATACTTCTGAGGTACGTAAGAAAATACAAAGGACAATGAACATGAACACGTATTTAAAAAGACATACATGAGTCACAAGCATATGAAAAAATGTTCAACATCACTAACCATTAGACAAATCTAAATCCAAACCACAATGAGATATTATCTTAAAATAGAATAGGTGTAATTAAAATGTCAAAAATAACAATTTTGGCAAGGTTGAGGAGAAAAAGGAATGTTTATAAACTGCTAGTGGGAATGTAAATTAGTTCAGCCAATGTAGAAAGCAGTTTGGAGATTTTTCAAAGAATTTAGAACAGAACTACTATTTGACCTTGGAATCCCATTACTCAGTATATACCCAAAGGAATGTAAATCATTCCATTGAAAAGATGTATGTACTCTCATGTTCATTGCAGCACTATTCACAATAGAAAAGACATGGAATCAAATGAGATGTCCATTAGTGGTAGACTGGATAAAAAAAATACAGTACATGTACACTCTGGAATACTATGCAGCCACAAAAAAGAACAGTCATGCCATTTGCAGCAATGTGGATGGAACTCAAGGCCTATGTGAATTAATGAACAGGAAACCAACTATAACACATATTCTCACTTGCAAGAGGGAACTAAATATTGAGTACACATGCACACAAAAATGGAAAGGGAAACCCAGGGCCTACTTGAGCATGGAGCATAGGAGGAGGGTAAGGGTCAAAAAACTACCAATCAGGTACCATGCTCAGTACCTGGGTAATGAAAGTATTTGTACACCAAAGCTCAGCAACACACAATTTACTCGTGTAACAAACCTGCATATGTATTCCCTGAATCTAAAATAACCAATTGTTTATAACAATAGTTATAATAAAATAAAAGTTGAAAAAGAAAAAAATATATTTAATTAGAGGTCATGGAATGAATCTATTATTAGTAAAAATACTACAAACCACTTCTCAATGAAATCAGAGATGGCACAAACAGAGGAACATTTCATGCTCGTGGATGTGAAGAATTGACATCATTAAAATGGCCATACTACCCAAAGCAATTTATAGATTCAATGCTATTCCCATTAAATTACCAATGTCATTCTTCACAGAACTAGATAAAACTATTTTAAAATTCATATGGAACATAGCAGAATCCAAATAGCCAAGACAATCATAAGCAAAAAGAGCAAAGCTGGAGGCATCATGTTACCCTACTTCAAACTGTACTACAGGGCTATAATAACTAAAACAGCATGGTACTGGCACAAAAACAGACACATAGACCAATGGGACAGAATAGAGAACCCAGAAAAAAGACCACACACCTACAACTATCTGATCTTCAACAAACCTGACAAAAACAAGCAATGGGAAAATGATTCCCTATTCAATAAATGGTGCTGGAATAACTGGATAGCCATGTGCAGAAAATTGAAACTAGATCCCTTCCTTACACCATGTACAAAAATTAACTCAAGATGGATTAAAGACTTACATGTAAAACCCCAAACTATAAACACTCTGGAAGACAACCCAGACAATACCATTCAATACCATTCGGGACATAGGCACAGGCAAAGATTTCATGATGAAAATGCCAAAAGCAATTGCAACAGAAGTAAAAATTGACAAATAGGATCCAATTAAACTAAAGAGCTTCTGCACAGCAAAAGAAGATATCAAAAGAGTAAACTGACATCCTGCAGAAAATTTTTGCAAACTGTGCATCTAACAAAGGTCTAATATTGAGCATCTATAAGGAACTTAAACAAATTTACAAGAAAAAAGCAAACAACCCCAGTAAAAAGTGGGCAAAGGACATGAACAGACACTTTTCCAAAGAAGACATGCATGTGGCCAAGAAACATATGAAAGAAAGCTCAACATCACTGAACATTAGAGAACTGCAAGTCAAAACCACAATGAGATACTGTCTCAAATGAGTCAGAATGGCTATTACTAAAAGTCAAAAAATAACAGATGCTGGCAAGGTTGTGGAGAAAAGGGAATGCTTATACACTTTTGGTGGGAGTGTAAATTAGTCCAACCATTGTGGAAGACAGTGTGGCGATTCCTCAAAGACCTAAAGACAGAAATACCATTAGACCCAGCAATTCCATTACTGGGTATATACCGAAAGAAATATAATTTGTTCTATCATAAAGACACATGCACACACACGTTCATTGCAGCACTATTCACAAAGCAAAGACATGGAATTAACCTAAATGCCCATCAATGTCAGATGGGATAAAGAAATTATAGTACATCTACACCACGGAATGCTATGCATCAATAAAAAATAATGAGATCACGTATTTTCCTGGGACATGGATGAAGCCGGAGGCCATGGTCTTTAGGAAACTAACGCAGGCACAGAAAATCAAATACCAAATACCACATGTTATCACTTGTAAGTGGGAGCTAAATAATAACACATAGACACATAGAGGGGGACAACACACACTGGGGCCTATGAAGAGGGTGGAAGGTGGGAGAAGAGAGAGAATCAGGAAAAATAATAATAAGTATTAGGGTAATAACAACTGGGTAATAAAATAATCTGTACAAGAAAACCCCATGACCAGTGTTTACCTATGTGACAAACTTGCACATGTACCCCTGAACCTAAGATAATAGTAAAAAGAAATACACAATTCTTTCATTTAATTATCAAGAATAGTACCTATCAAATGTTAGAAGACCCGCTACAGCAAAGATTTCAAGATCAATAGAATACAGCTTTGGCTTTAGAGGAAATTACGGGACAGTTAGGAAGACATATATTTAAAACAATCATTAGTGGCCAACTGTCTGACTCAGGGACTGCGCAAACAGGGTTCATGAATTATGCTCGGGGGTAGGAAATTCAATAAGGCTTCACAGAGAAAGACCTGCTGAGACTTTAGCATCAAGACATGGTTCTTGGGTACACTAAACTCCCAGAATTCACCACTATACAATTCATTCACATAACAAAAAACCACTTGTACCACAAAAGCTTTTGAAATTTAAAAATATTAAACATATAAAGTTAATGTAAGACAAAAAAAGATATCGTTCTCAAGCTGAATAAGGAGTACAGGACATTACAAAAAGAAAAATACATTTCCTCAGCTGTTAGTATTAAAAAAAAGCATGCGTGTTCTTGGAAGTCTAAGTAAGTGAAGTGACTAGAGTGTAGGTATATACAGACAAGTGAGTTTAATTATAGAGTTTCACAGGGCAGAGATCACAGAGGGATTTGAATGACATGCCGCAGAGTTTCAATTACATAAGGATCCAGCACAGCTGTGCCTATTTCTCTGCTTTCATGTGGGAAAACGAATCCCATATCTTTCTAAGTATAGCTAATAGAAATATGAAAGTTTCTGAATATGGGTTTCTGGTCAATAAAGATTTTCATTCCAGGGTGTTTAATTAGCTTTACAACATCCCCACGCCTGACTTGGCTTGCACATAGCTGACTATCGGATAACCATAGCATGGACACATGCAGCAAGAATCCATTGAACATTTTATTAATCACTGAGGCAACTGAGTCTGGTCTCGTGGACATGGGCTTTAGGACCTACTCTGCTGCTAGTTAAAAGTAAAAATATAAATAATTCACTCTATGTGGAGTTTGTAAAATTAAAAGAAGGAATCAGCTTTGTATTGGTGGCATAGTTTAAAAAGTCATTCCCCAGTGCTTAAAAAAGTGGGATATTTATCACAAACAACCTGATATGAGGCTTTGCTTGGAAGAAGTTATGGTAAGATGGAAGCAGGCACTCACAAGGCAACCATGAGCAGGACCTGAGATGGAGCTGCCACCTTTGATGGAGCTTGAGGGCCCTCCTTTGCCAAAATCCCCTCTACTTCCTGTGAAACACTCATGCTCAGGACAAGTGCCAACCATCATTTATCATCACCACTGCACTGTTGATTTCCTTCATTTAGAGTTATAAGAAAAATGAAGTACTTGCTGAACTTAACCTTCTATTGCATGTTGGGGGTGAAAAAGGGTAGTTCTGGCTATGCTGTATATTTCAAGAACGTATAAGCTGTGCATATATATTTTTTTAACTGAGAAACATTTCTCTGATTTCAACATGCAAATAAAGTGTTTATGGGCCCATGGAATTAACATGAGATAAAATTGTGAGCCCATCTTGATTTATTCCTTTCCATACTAACTCATTGTGGGAAATTATTATAATAGAAACTCTCTGGGCCTCAGCCTCCTCTTTGTGCCCCAGGTTCAAGGTAACTTACCTATCTCCTGTCTGGCCTCTGGAGCACTATGAACACTGCTGTCTCACAAAAAGAGGTCTAATCCTGTGTTCTGAGCAGAAAGGGTCAAGTAGCTACCAGGCCTGGCCTCCTGCAAGTTGCTTAAATTTTCTTGTCTTTGGTGTTTTTGTCTTTAAAAAACAATAAAAGTCCTACTTGTTCCATTCTATGAGATGACTTTTAAATACCTAGAATGATAATACACAAACAGTAGATTCCTTATTTTATCTTATTACATTATTTATACTGTAGCTAAAGCAATATACTTTAGTGCACTTGAAGGTCTTAATAATAAAATATTGGCTACTATATATGAGCGGCATTTTATTAGTAACCTCAGAACTGCTAAGTAGTGTAAATAGATTTTTTTTGTTTAATTCACCAAAAACAAATACATGATTCTTTAAACCCTACCCAAACCCAGTTTTACAGATGAGGAAACTGAGACCCAGGAGTCATAGCTAATTTGTAATTCCATGTTCATTCTATTGCAAATCCTGTGCTTTTATTTTGTCAAATGGGCCCCTGACAAACAACTAGTACAGTGTGTCAGGATTTGAACCAAATATGAATTCTAACCCCATGGCGTTAGCCGTAAGGCTAGACTCTAATTTTACAATTCTTTGTGCCTAGATTGGCTATTGACTACCAGGATCTAATATGTGAGTAAAGAATGCTTTAATGAATGTGTAGATGAAATATAGCCATAAAACATATAAAATATATACATACTATTTACAAACATATGTACAAACTCATATTCATGAATACTCTATGATTTTCTTTGGCAAATATTCTAGAATTCAGCACAGCTAAAAAACATTTCAGTTATTTCATGTGTTGGCAATACCATCTTAATAGCTCTCCTTTGTTTATGTAATTTTGAATAGAAAGAAACATTTCCAACTCACTTCAGGCTTATAGCAAAAATAATCCCATATTAATAAACTGCCATAGCCATCATTTACTTTGACAACATAAAAATCATACATGTCATGAGATAATTTATATACATCGTCTCTATTAATAGTTTTCCTATGTGATTACCTCATGAGGCAAGCCTGTTCATCTTTATTTTATAGAAAGGAAACTGAGGTTCAGGAAAGTTGGCTCATTTATCTAAGGTGTCACAGCTAATAACTTTCAGAACTATATCTTCAACCCAGGTATCTGACTCCGAAAAATATTCTGCCTCCAACTTCAGTGCACACATTCCCTGCATCAATGTTGATCCATCTCTTTGGGATGGCAAATGTCATCATATGGCATAGATTTGTTGTTTGAAATGTCCATGTGTGATTTGGAGACCAGTCTATAAATAAACTATCTTGGTCAAACTGCCCTAAAGCAAGATATGACTATAGAGATAGAGATTTTCCATTGTGGCTTCAAAATTGTTTTCTGTATGTTATCTACTCTCTGAACCCACTTTCCAGCTCACATGCTCTCAGAATATCAGACTAGATAAACGTTGTAATAATAAATCCTGATATTTCTGTCTCATCTTGGCTAAAGCAATGAAGCAAACTGACATTAAATTTTCCTTCTTTCTGCTTTCTTTCTTCATTTGGCCCTTCACCTGTAAATTCCCAGCTCAATTTAACTGAAGGTTGTACTGAGAGACCAAAGGCTAAGACATTAGTAGCTTAATGCATGACATAAATGATGGCAGAACTTTGATGAATTGGACAAATGAAACACTCCATTCTTTGAAGGAATACCTGTCCAAACTGTCAGAGCAAGAGTGGAGGTGGCAGCTCTAGCTTATACACTGCTTGCTAAAATCTTTAGCATCTGTGTGTAGTGATGAAAGCTGAGAGAGCCCTGAGATTAACCAAAGGAAGTGCTTCAGAACCATAAGAGTCAAGTGGCACCTGGCCACACAGCTGTGCAGTCTTACTTACAATGTCCTTCAATCAATGCTTTCCTGGAACTCAGCTTCCTCCTCTGCTAAGTTAAGACTAAAATATCTATCTCTTAGCATCATTGTGCCGAGACCATCTCGGTCAGGGAGACCCTAACCCAGCAGCACTAGAGGAATTAAAGACACACACACAGAAATATAGAGGTGTGAAGTGGGAAATCAGGGGTCTCAAAGCCTTCAGAGCTGAGAGCCCCGAATAGAGATTTCCCCCCATATTTATTAACAGCAAGCCAGTCATAAGTATTGTTTCTATAGATATTAAATTAACTAAAAGTGTCCCTTATGGGAAACAAAGGGATGGGCCGAATTAAAGGAATAGGTTGGGTTAGTTAACTGCAGCAGGAGCTTGTCCTTAAGGCACAGATCGCTCATGCTATTGTTTGTGGTTTAAGAATGCCTTTAAGCGGTTTTCCACCCTGGGTGGGCCAGGTATTCCTTGCCCTCATTCCCGTAAACCCACAACCTTCCAGTGTGGGCGTTAGGGCCATTATGAACATGTTACAGTGCTGCAGAGATTTTGTTTATGGCCAGTTTTGGGGCCAGTTTATGGCCAGATTTTGGGGGGCCTGCTCCCAACATCATTGGGATAAGGTTTACTAATTGTTTTGAAATGATCAATTTAATAAATGGAACATAGGTAACCATTAAATGGTAGAGAACATTATTGCTGTATTAAGTAATACATATATGCAATGTATAATATTATATAATAGTAGTAACTACAAAGTGCCAGTTCAGGTTGAATTAGGGAAGACAAGCTAACAGAGAAGTCTGATGTGGTGGGGAGTGGTGTACCAATAAAATCAGGCAGCAAGGAAAGAACAAAAAGAATTGTGTAGTGGTTGAGAACTAGGATTCTTGTCAGCCAGATCCTCTTTCTGCCATTTAACACTTGAACGACCATGGTTGAGTTAATTAACTTTTAAGGATCAGTTTCCCTATCTTTGAACTAAGCACAATACTGATTTTATCTAATAGACTTTCTGCAACTATATATATATATACACACACACACATACATATAAATTAATACAGATTTTAATGTATTAAATAATACATGTTTATATATTATTTAAATATATGTACATATATTTAATATACATTATGTATTATTAAGTAGATATTTAAATCTGTGTATGTTAAAATATTTATGTAAATCACTTACATACCTGACACACATTGAGCCCTCAACCAACATTACTTATTTCCCATTATTATTCATTAAGGACTACATAATACCTGACACATGATCAAAATATTTAACCTAATTCTCTCCACTAGCTACACCTCTAAATTCATTTGTGTTTTTCTCTAACCCAGGATAATTTACTTCATACGTCATGGCTAACTTCCCCTACAGTGAGGATTCTAGGAGAACCTGCTAGAAAACGACAAGGTTTCTTATAACCTATCCTTAAAAATCTCAGAACATCACGTTTCTTAAATTCTATTGGCCTAGCAAGACACTAAGGCCAGTCTGAGTTCAAGAGAGCAGAAACTATATACTACCTCTCCATGGGAGTGGTAGCAAATAATTTATAGCTAACTTTAACCTATCGCAAGGAGCAAACCCACAGTGAAAAGCTGCATTACTCTACTTGGTCTGCCATAAGAAAATACCATAGACTGGGTGGCTGAAACAACAGGAATTTATTTTCTTACAGTTCTGGAGGCTGGAAGTCGAGAGATCAGGGTGTCAGCAGGGTGCTGTTCTGACGAAGACGCTCTTACTGGCTTACAGGCTTCTGACTGTGTCCTCATGTGGCCTTCCTCTGTGAAAGCTCACTCTTTCTTCTTGTAAGGATACCAATCCTGTCGATATCCTTAGGAGTCCTCAAATGCATCATGCTCTTCCACACATATTTCTCCCTTCTCTGCTTTTTGTGTGTGCCTTTCTTTTAGCCTGGTTAACTTAATCTAAATTAAGTCTCCTTAATTCTCTAAACTTCTCAGGTCCTAAGTCCTGTCGGATTAGGACCACATCCTTATGATCTCATTTAACCATCTTAAAAGCCCTTTCTCCAAAGATGGTCACATTGGGGGTTTGGGCTTCAACATCTGAATTTTCAGTGGGCACAGTGCAGTCAATAGCAACATCAGAGAAATGAACAAGATACACATAACATCCCTTGAGCAATTGTATCATCATGCCTGAAGCTATGTCTACCACCAGAATTACTTAAAAATGAGAACCAGTAAATTCTATTTTATTTTTTATAAGCCAATTTTGATGAGATCTTCTGTTATTTGTAACAGAAAGTGTCCTGGTTGATACAACAGGCAACTCTTTAGTGCCAACTTACAGGTCGCCAAGGGCAAGAATGGGATTTGTTAGAAGAAATTAGAATCCTGAAACAGAAGCAAACACAAGAAATAGTGACATCAGTGATTATGCAGGATTGAGGACATAAAGCTACAATAACTTAATTCCAAAAGGTAATCTGTTTCTAGCTTGAAGCTAGTTTTAAAACACAGGATATGAACTTTTTAATTTACTGCAGAAAATCTTAAAGGCACATTCAGTACCTGAGAATCAAAAGCAAAAAAAAAACACCACAATTGAATCAAAACGACTTCTAGAATGTAACATAGATGCCACTTAGAGACTCTTGAGTTTGATTAGAAATGAATTTATTCACAAGACTGATTATATTCAGTTTCTTCTCTTTATGGAAGAGAAAACCAATGGCCAGAGATTCAAAGCAATGTTTGCATCCTGGAGTACAAAAACACTAGCTTTTACAGTAAAGATCTTGACTCATATTTAACTTAAGCATAATGTTTTCTGCTTTTCAGAAAGCGACAACTCTCCATTTATTATAACCCTGTCCTCACTCTGATTATTCACTTTGAAGGAAGGACAATCAGGGTGAGTCAGTGGCCCTGAAGGCAAAGAAGAGGGTTTTCAAGCACAGGTGGGGAAATAAGGGAGTATCTCCAAACAACAAAGGTGACCTGAGGTTTACTAAGGTAAGATGCCAAGAATAGATGCCTATTAATCCCTGTCGCACGGGTCACAGGCAACTCTGTCAACCAAATGTGTGGCTGTGTACCTAACGGTGTGTGTTCAGCCAGGATATTAAGGCACAGAGAGCAATACATCTCCCTGCCGCCCTTCCTGCCCCTGCTGAATGCATCAGGTCAGCATCCTACTCTGACTGCAGAGAAGAAAATGACATGTGCATAGAACAACATGGAAAGGAAATAAACGTCCTTGAGCAGAGACAGATGAGAAAGATTATTTTATATGGCATGTTAAAGAAGGCAGAGAAAATTCAGCAGGTTTATGCTCTTGGGGCCTTAATAAACTGACTAAAAATAAAATAATTATCCTAAAGGTTCTCATATGACAGTTTTCTCTTCAAAGGATACTCCTTAGCCACTTTTTTCACAAAAAGAGATCACTTCTTTTTATATAAGCACTAATCGTGTTATATATGTGTTAACCTATGTTTCTCCCCTTCATTTCCTCTCTCTCTATATATTTTTTCTCACATATAACACATGTAAACTAAGTGTGGATGAAATTAAGAAATAAATGCATGATTACGTATTGTTATAAGTAACTTCTTCCTCCTTTATTTCTGCCTTGTATTGTTTCTCTCTGTTAAATCCCTGATGCAAAATTTGCCAAAAATTCTGCAGTTTAAATGTCATGGGCTATGAACAAAAAGAATGGATGAGATAAAAATGTTTGGAAAGGTGGGTGGAAAGTCTGTAAATTTTAATAAAAACTCAAATTCGTGCTCGTTTTGGCAGCACATATACTAAAATTGGAACGACACAGAGAAGATTAGCATGGCCCCTGCACAAGGATGACACGCAAATTTGTGAAGTGTTCCATATTTTTCCAATTTGTAATAAAGATACTTTTTAAAATTTAAAAAAACCCTCGAATTTGTTAGAATGTTTGGGGAACTGGGACTCCTCTGGGGAATTGGATTTTCTGTCTATGAACTCTCTTATTTCAGTTCTCATCAGAATGATTGCAAATACCTAAGTCCCTAGTCTTCCTTCATCAACCTAACATGATTGCATCTTTGCTTGATGAGTCTGAGTTCTTTGAGTTCTTGGGCTCATTAGTGTTCACTCTGTGGAATTTGATGTTGATATAAATGTTTTAGGAGGTAGAGTTTGTTTACTTCTGAGTTTAGAATGCAAATACCAATGAACTTTTATGGTTTAGGTGGGATCTCAATATACTTGTATATGAAGTATCAGAAAATATTAGAGAAATTTGATAGTAATATAATATCTGTGATTATCTACTGTTTACTATATATCAGGCATTGTAAGTTTTTCATGTGCATTACCTCATTTATCTCTGAAAACCACACTAGGAGTCTGATGCTAGGAATCTCTTTTACAGAAGATGAACTGCTGGGCTAGAGCAGAGTTTCTCAAACATTAGTATTCTTTCAAACCACCTGGGGGATCTAATTAAAATGCCAATTCTGAATCGAATACCTTGTTTCAGGCCGAGATTATGCATTTCCGACAGTTTCCTAGGCAATGTCAATGATAAACACTAGTAGAAATGAGGACTTTGAAACTTTCCAGCCTCCTAGCTAGTTGAGAAACTAGACTAGCACTTGTGAATTCAGATGACTACCCTTGGCCACCATTAGGTTCAGCAAACACACATGAGGCTGCTGGGATTCCTTCCCGGTCTACGGCAGACACTAACATTGTACTCCAGCATTCTCTCCTTCCCAGCCGCGAAAATGAACTCACATTTCTTCTCAGTAAAAAAATTCCAAAAATTCACTGGTAATAAACCAATCAGGATAGGCCTGTGACATGAAGCTTCTTTTCATGATTCTGCAGTTTCTACTTTGGCCAAAAGGCTTACATGTCAGTCTTCCTTGAAAAAAGGAGTAAATCAGTTGTTTTGAAAATTGTTATTTAACATGAGTTCCCTGAGAAGCATAGAGTCTTATAGTGATATATAAAAACAAAAGGAGAAAATAATATCTATAATCTCACTACTCAGAGACAAGGACTTTGCATGTATTTATTCAATCATTTTCTTGTCCATGAATTTTTTTTGCATAGCTTTGATTGTACAGTATATAAACTTTTGTGTTCTGATAAAATATATTATTTGTCTTTTTAAAAATGAATACATACTACTCTATAAAGCAGATACATCATGAATTAATTGAAAATTGTCTGTGTGAGCTTCCACCCCTGATTTTACTATTAATTTGCTAATTTTACTCTTAATATAAAACTGGGAATAATATATTTCTGCCAGGCTTTTCTTCTGTACATCAATTTTATGTCAATTTATTGATTAGAACATTCTAAAGTAATTCTGAGTCTCTTTTTGTTTTTGTTTTTCAATTTTGTATGTGCTTCAAAAGAGTATGATGGCCTCTTTTAGGTATGCATTTGGCATATTTTACACTTTTTCACTGATTGAACTGCACACATGATCTATACTTCCTGCTACGTGATACACATTTGGTAGGTTGTTTTTTACCCAAATGCATATTCTATCTCAGAGATTGTGCTGTAACACAAAGACTTCTGTTTGAAGAGAGTTCTAGGTATAAAAGAAAGTAAAATAATTGAAATAATTATCCTTTCAAACCTTTCATTTTAAAAAAAAATTAGCTCAGCATGAATTCTCGACTTGATTTGTACTTCACCATCTTTCCCCCGCTGCCCACGGCTTGATTAAAACACAAGAATGTAATTATCTGTTAATTTGGAGTCTGAACTGATGAAAATAGAAAGAACTTGCACAGGTCAGAGGTTATCATGGTGCATAATTAATTGTCCAACATCATCTTAATCAACATCTCTTCAGTTTGAGCATCCTGCATTTCTTGGACAGTAAGGGGGAGGAGAGATGTGTGATTTAATCAACTATGCCTGAGTTGTCAGAAACCGATTTGGGAGGCGTCATCCCCCAGTTATTAAAGAAAGAACTGAAGTGTTTCATCCTTCAGAGACAGGTCATGCATTACCAAGTTTGTAAGATACAAAGCGCATTGTTGAATACAAGGCTTCCTGCACGTGGCTAACTTCAACTTGATTAATACATTGAAGTATTAGGTCTGAGAAGGAAAGGTGTGCACATCTGAATGTAATCTAACATTATATGAATTATTAGCCACAAAAAGCCATTGACTTTTACCAATGTTAGATTTGCTGTGCTATTACCAATGTGCGTGAAAGTATAGAATCTGTCCTTTGAAAAAAATCACAATAATGTCACATTTTCTGTCACATTTTCATAAACATGCCATAGGTCAAATAAAATAACAATAGAGAATATAAATTTCAGGCATAGTCTGGTCTTATACATTCAAATAATAGAGAATCCTATTCATGCTCTAGAACGCCGCATGAACTATCCGTGGATTTTCAGCATAGGGTCACAGAATTAATATGCATTTTTCTCTTATTTAATTAGCATAACACTATGTTAAGGTCGAGATTATTGTTCCCATCTTACATAGGTGGAAACTGAGATTGAGAGCAACTAACTCTCTTTATTACTGACTTGCTGGTAGGAAGTGGCCCAAGTTGGAACCTGTGCCCTTCGGTTTCTGCCAATCCTGGATATGGTGTGAAGTTGGCTACAATAAACAAGCATTTCTATGTTGCTTGATCCCACTTGTACATTGCTTTGGTTATTTCATCAGCTTCTTCTCTTTTTCTTTTCTCTTTCTCCCCCAGTTTGCCATACATGTCTGCATCATAGAATCTTTGAATAGCAATGTCACTAGAAATTTTGGGTTATTTTTCCTGAGGCAGAATTATTGCTGGTTTTCCTTTTTTTATTGCTGGTTTTCCTTTTTTTTTTTTTTGAGACAGAGTCTTGCTCTGTCGCCCAGGCTGAAGTGCAGTAGCGTGATCTCGGTTCACTGCAAGCTCCACCTCCCGGGTTCACGCCATTCTCCTGCCTCAGCCTCCTCAGTAGCTGGGTCTACAGGCGCCCGCCAGCACGCCCGGCTAATTTTTTGTATTTTTTTAGTAGAGACGGGGTTTCACTATGTTAGCCGGGACGGTCTGAATCTCCTGACCTCGTGATCCGCCCGCCTCGGCCTCCCAAAGTGCTGGGATTACAGGTGTGAGCCACTGTGCCCGGCGTGGTTTTCGTTTTTTACTGATCTGTCTTTCTAAGTGAGTATGAGTATTTGTGGTGAAGTTTGTGTATTTTCTTTATGATTCTGTAGAACTTAGATAAACATCCAGCTCATTAAATGTATAAAATATGTTTGTAGAATAAATTAGTAAAATCAACAAATGTTTGAGTGGATTGATGAACAAAAAATGCATAGATAGATGGAAATATGAATGGTTGGATGAAAAGATGGATGAATGAGAGAAAACTAGGCAAGGTCCCAAAGGGAAATTGAGAAGTAGAACATGTTGGGTTAACCCTGTGATTCAGCAGTGGGAAAAAGAGAGCTGCAAGTTGCTGTGAAGTGTTGAAGACTTTCCAGAAGCCTCTCCACTCTGTTGTCAGTTGTTTTATCACCACTATTATAACAGAGGAAGCCTTAAGGATGATCATTTTATTCCAATGTTGTAATTATTAAAATAATAGTTTTTTAGTGTTTTGTCTTTTTTATCGATGAATACTATTTGTACATATTTATGGTGTACACGTAATATTTTGTTGCATGCATAGAATGTTAAAACCAAGTAAACTGAATGCTGGGTAAGCCTAAAGTTCAGGCAAGGTGGGAAATACACAGAGAAAGTCAAGGGCATAAAAATACTTAGACCACGAAATGGGCTTGTGGGAGAGAACAAGACAGTGGCAAAGTCCAGAGAAACAATTGGGAGAAATTTCACTGACCTTTGGTGTGGTTATTTAACTAGCAGAGAACTCTGGACAGAGATTTCATAGAAAGCTAGGGTCCTAGGGTCTCTGTCTCTCTCATAGACCACCACATTAGCATTTCTGAGTTACATGGCTACCCCGAGTAACATGCAAGTTTTTGTGGATTCATGAATTAATCTGTAAGCAAGTGAATTATATTTAACAATTATCAAGTGCTTTTTCAAAGAGTAAGGGCTTCGACATCCTGTCCACCACTGTAGGTTTGTAGCCCTGCCCTGCATCCCTGCTCATGTCCATCTCCTCAGCTTTCAGTTAACCAGGAGACTTTCTGATTCTCCAGAGTAGACTCCCCACCCACCATTATATATGCTTATACTGTACCACTTCTTTAGAGCACTCCCTACATTTATTGATATGGATTTGCTCTGATGTCTATAAACCACAACAAAGACAGGAATAGTTGATTCATCAAACATTTACTGAGTACCTCCAGTGTGGCACAGAAGATTCAGCAGTGAGGAAGAGAGAAGAGGTGTTTGAGCTCCTGGAGCCAGCATTTTATCAACTGTTGGGACTGAACATGTTCTAAAAAGTGAAACATAAATATGATAAATTCAGAAAATGAGCAATTATAGAAAGAGAATAAAATTATGGGAATGGTGATATATTAGAATACACCAAATTTTGTTTATCCATTTATCAGTTGATGGACATATGGGTTGTTTCAACCTTTTTTTAATTATTAATAATGCTGCTATCAATATTTGTATACGAGGCTTTGTAAAAAACATATGTTTTCAATTTTCTTGGGTAAATTCCTAGAAATGGAATTGCTGACTCATATGGTAACTCTAGATGTAACATTTTGGAAAGTCGAAAAACTGTTTGCAGGGAGGCTACAACATTTAACATTCTCACCAGGAGTATTTAAAGCTTTCCATTTTTCCTTATACTCATCAACATATGATAGTTTCTCTCTTTATAATTTTATCTATCCTAGTAGATGCAAAGTGGTATCTCCTTGTGATTTTGATTTTGCCGTTACTTTTAAAGGCAAAAACCGCATGTAATTTTCCACCAACCTAATAACATTGAGTGTCTGTTGCACCCCTTGACATTGGATGGTGAGGTGAGCCCTTTGAGGAGTAGCTGAGATGAAAATGATAGAGGAACTAAGGGAAGAACATTCTTTACAAAGAGAACAGGTTCTCCCCGTTTAAAAGCCCTAACAAGTCTAGCTTTGAAGGTCTGGGTAAGACATTCAGATTATGTTTTAAATATGATAAGATGTATGTCCCTTAAAGTTCATCTTGTCAACAGAGTGGAGAATGGGTTGTTGTAGCTCAAGGAGAAAAGTGGGGTCTGTAGTATCTTCTCGTTAGTGTAACTCTAATGGTTAAGATAATGCGTGGCCCAAAGCTCAGTAAATGTTAAATGAAATAAATGAATGAATTATTCCCGGAAAGTTTATTCTCCACCATTGCAGTTCATTTATGCTTATAAAATTGAAATATTTTACTTCCTTCCTCAGTGTTTTTGACAAAGAAATAAATCAGAATATATCCAGAATCATAGACTGGTTTGGAGAAAATTTCTCTCACCTTTCTCATTCAGAATACTAGTCTTCTTCAAAATCTAAGAGCATCATTTTTTCCCTGCAATAAAATTTCTCTCATTCATTTTTAAAGTGTTTTCCAATATAACACTGCAAAATTAACTGTCACTGTAAGCACAATTTGGCTAAATCTAACAAGACTTGCAGTATTGTTTTTCTCCTATATTTCTATGATAAAATGCTCTGAATACAGATTAACATTATTTCCTCAGTATTTGTTATTGTTTTACCTACTTCAAAACACAAACTGAAAGTTCTTTGATGAATGGACATAAAACTCGTTGGGTTTTACTTTATTGTCAGCAACTTCTGTTTTCTCATGCAAAATGTGATTTTGTAATTTTCTGCAGAAATACAGCCCAGCAGAACTCAGCTAATGCCTAGATGTCTAAGTTTCTTACTGAATGACTCTGTCTGACTCCCTGCCTTATGTTACTATTATAACTGCCACCACATAACAGAGTCAGTTTTAGGTGTTGCTTGCTTTTAGCCCTGGGCACCGTGAAGATTTAGAGTGAGTAGATCCTGTTAGGTTTGGAAATCAGATATCAATCCAGAATCTGGTCCTTTTGGAGGTCTCCAAAGATGTAAGAAGCTCCAACTCATAGAGGCTGGAGAGGAACTCAAGAGCTAAAAGGTGAACAAGAGTACAAAGTCATGCAACCTGAAATGAGGTTTGTTTACTTTTTAAATAAACAATTACATTTTTATTGAGATATAATTGACATACAATTTACTCCTTAAAAGTGTATATATAATTCAGCAATTTTTAGTAAATTTGCAGAGTTGTGCAAACATCATCATTATGTAATTTTAGAAAATTTGTACCACCTCATAAAGACATACACTTATACTCAGTCCTCATTGCCCCTTCATTGCTAATCTACTTTCTCTCTCTGTATTTGCTTATTCTGGAATTTTTATATGAACGGGGTCATACAATATGTGGCCTCTTGTGGTTGGCTTCACTCTCTAAGCATAATGTTTTCAAGGTTCGTTCATTTTGTAGTATATATCGGTACTTCATTTCATTTTATTGCTAAATAATATTCTATTGTGTGGATATACTAAATTTTGTTTATCAGTTGATGGACATATGGGTTTTTTTAATCTTTTTATTATTATGAATAATTCTGCTATCAATATTTGTATACAAGGCTTTGTGAAGTCATATGTTTTCAATTTTCTTGGGTAAATTCCTAGAAATGGAATTGCTGACTCATATGGTAACTCTAGATGTAACATTTTGAAAAGTTGACAAAGTATTGTCTCTATAAAAACACGAAAAATTAGCCAGGCATTGTGGCGGGCGCCTATAGTCCCAGCTACTCTGGGGGCTGGGGCAGGAGAATGGCGTGAACCCGAGAGGCGGAGCTTGCAGTAAGCCCAGATTGCGCCACTGCACTCCAGCCTGGGCGACAGAGCGAGACTCCGTTTCCAAAATAAAAAATAATAAACATAAAAAATAAAATAAAATAAAAAGAAATAAAATGAAAAGCTGACAAAGTGTTTACAGGGAGGCTGCAACGTTTAGCAGTGTTTAAGGGTTCCAATTTTTCCATACCCTCATCAAGACATGATAGTTTCTCTGTAATTTTATCTATCCTAGTAGATGCAAAGTGGTACCTCATTGTGATTTTGATTTCCATGATGTTGAATACCTTTGCATATATTTATTAACAATTTTTATATCTTCTTTGAAGAATTATCTATTCAAGTTATTTGGCCATCGAAAATTAAATTTTCTATATGTTTGTTGAGTTATAAGTGTTCTTTTTATATACTGGATACAAGTGCTTTATCAGATGTATGATTTGAAAATATCTTCCCCCATTCTGTGGCTGATTTTCACTTCCTTGATGATTTTCTTAGAAGTATATATTTTTTCTAATTTTCGTGAAAATCCTATTTTTTTCTTAATTGCTCTTGCTTTTTGTATCACATCCAGGAAACATTGCTCAACCCAAAATCATGGATATTTATTCTTATTTCCTTCTATGAGTTTTATAGTTTTTGCTCTTACATTCATGTCAATAATAAATAATATGTGACATGTCAATGATCCATTTTGGTCCATATAACAATTTCTGTTATATGTAGCATGGAGTCCAGAATAATTATTTTGCCCATAGGTATCCTACTGTACCAGTAGGATTTGCCGAAAAGATGATTATTCTCCCATTGGCACACTTCCTGAAAATCAACTGACCACCAATGTAAGAATATATTTCTTGACCCTCAATTCCATTCTTTCTATAAGTCTTTATGACAATACCACACTGTCTCAATAAGAGTATTTTATAACTTTTTGACATCAAGAATTATAAGAGCTTCAAATTTTTTTTAAGAATATTTTGGCCATGCTAGGACTTTTTAATTTCCATATGGATTTAGGACCAGACTGTGAGTTGTTTTTGTTTGTTTGTTTTTTCCAAAAAATCCGTCTAGTAGTTGATAAGGGTTATTTTAGATCTGTAGTTCAATTGAGGGAGAGTTGCCATCTCAACCATGTTATATCTTCATATCTATGAACATAAAAATATAAAATGTCTTTTCATCAATTTATGCCTTCTTTAATTTCCTTCAATAGTGTTTTGTAGTTTCTGGTGTATAAGTTTTATGCTTCTTTTGTTAAATGTATTCCCAAGTTTCTTTTTTATTTTTCCAGATATTATTAGAAATTAATATATTTTTATTATTTCCATTTTTGGATGATTCATTGACAAAGTATACAAAAACAATTGATTTATTTATATTGATCTTATATCCTAAAACCTTGCTGAAGTCATTTATTGTTTCTGATTGTAGATTCCTATTTTTTATTCAATTTAATGTCATCTGTAAATAGAGATAGATTTATTTTTAGCTTTTAAATCTGAATGCTTTATATTTTATTTTTATTCCTAATTACTCTAGGTAATATGTCTAAAACCATGTTAAATAGATGTTGTAAGAACAAATACTCTTGCCTTGTTCCTAATTTGATGAAAAAAATTTTCGATCTTTCACTATTAAGTATGAAGGTAGCTATGGTCTTGGGAAATTCCCTTCTATTCCAATTTGTTGAGTATTTTATTTTTAAAAGATGTTTAATTTGTGAAACAATTTTAATTCTTTATCTATTGAGTTGATCATGTGGTTTTTTTTTTCTTTAGAATACTATTATGGGATATTACATTGAGTTTCATATGTCAAACAAACCCTGAATTTCTGATATAAATTCCACCTGGATGTTGTATATAATTCTTTTTACATATGGTAGATTCAGCTAGGTAGTATTCTGTTGGGAATTTTTGCCTCTTTATTCATAGAGGATGTTGTCTGAAGTTTCCTTATAATTTATTGGTATGGCTTTGTTATCAGAGCAATACTAAATTCACGCAATTGGTTATAAAGTGTTTTGTCCTCTCCAATTTTTTAAAAAACAATGTATAAAGATTGGTGTAAATTCTATAAAGACTTAGTAGAATTCATAATTGAAACAATTTTGGGACTGGGACTGTTTTGTGATAAGCCTTAATAATAACAATTCAATTGTTTTACTGGTTACAGAACCAGTCACATTTTCTATTTCTTCCTGACTCAATTTCAGTAACTTAGGTCTCTCGAGGGAATGTCTATGTCATCTAAATTATACAATTTGGTGACACACAACTGCTTACACTATTTCTTTATAATATTTTAATTATTATTATTTCCTAAGATCAGTAGTAAGGTCCACTGTTTCATTCTACACTTTAATCTGATACCTCCCTCTTCTTTAATGTAAAGTTTTTTCAGTTTTGTTGCTGGTTCTTTCCAAAAATCCAACTTTTGGTTTGTTGAATTTCTCTATTATTTTTCTATTTTTTTAAATTTATTTTCATTCTAATCTTCATTATCCCTTTATGAGCTTAGTTAGGTCTTCTGTTCTAGTTTCTCAACGTATAAACTTAAGTGATTGATTTGCGATATTTCTTCTTCGTTAATATAGGTGTTTACAGGCATTAACCATTTCCTTAGATGCATGCCCCACACTTTGTTATGCTGTGTTTTTATTTTCATTCATTTTAAAGTATTTTAAAATTTATTTTAATAATTGTTTGACCTATTGCTTATTATCACATATTATTATCAACATTAATTGTGCCCAGAATTGGTGGGTTCCTGGTCTCCCTGACTTCAAGCATGAAGCCGCAGACCCTCACGGTCAGTGTTACAGTTCTTAAAGACGGTGTGTCCTGAGTTTCTTCCTTCTGGTGGGTTTGTGGTCTCCCTGACTTCAGGAGTGAAGCTGCAGACCTTCGCGGTGAGTGTCACAGCTCTTAAAAGCAGTGCGTCTGGAGTTGCTTGCTTCTTCCAGTGGATTTGTGGTCTCACTGGCTTGAAGAGTGAAGCCAAAAACCTCTGTGGTGAGTGTTACAGCTCGTAAAAGCAACGCAGACCCAAAAAGTGAGCAGCAACAAGAATCACTGCAAAGACCCAAAGCACACAGCGTTGAAGGGGATCCAAGCAGGTTGCCTGCTGACTTGGGTGGCCTGCTTTTATTCCCTTATCTGGCCCCACCCACATCCTACTGATTGGTTTATTTTACAGAGAGCTAATTGGCGCATTTTACAGAGAGCTGATTGGTCCGTTTTACAGAGAGCTGATTGGTCCATTTTGACAGAGTGTTGATTGGTGTGTTTACAAACCTTTAGCTAGACACAGAGGGCTGATTGGTGTGTTTACAATCCTTTAGCTAGACAGAAAAGTTCTCCAAGTTCCCCCACACGTCCCAGAAGGCCACCCAGCTTCACCACTCATTGGGACTCCCAGTGGGAACTCTGGCAGCCCAGAGGGAGCTCATCCCCTGATCAAGCCCAGCAGGCGCCCACCCGGAACCTGGGCTGGCCGGCGAGTGCCGCATGCAGCCCTGGCTCCTGCCAGCGCCTCTCCCTGCACACTTCCCCGCCAGCAGAGAGAGCCGGCTCCAGCCTTGGCCAGCCCCCAGAGAGGGGCCACCACAGCAGAGCGGAGAGCTGAAGGGCTCCTCCAGCACCGCCAGAGTGGACGTCGAGGCAGAGGAGGAGCCCAGAGCGAGTGAGGGCTGCAAGCACGAGGTATTTCTTCTTCATTAATATAGGTGTTTACAGGCATTAAGCATTTCCTTAGATGCATGCCACATGCTTTGTTATGCTGTCTTTATTTTCATTCACTTTAAAGTATTTTAAAATTTATTTTAATGATTATTGTTTGACTTATTGCTTATCACATCACATAATTAATATTGTTATCAATATTAATATTAATAATTAATATAATATAGATATTATATTAATTATTTTAATTGTTATTAAAGTAAAATTGCTTATAATTTGTAATTTTAATTAATTAAGTAATGTGTTATTACAAATATATTAAATATTTGATATTACTTATACAATATTGAAATATAGATAATTTTATTATGTTATGGTGTAAAATATATTAATATTTTTTAAAACAAAGCTGTTATACATTATAAATATGTTAAAAATGCATTTAAAAATATGTCTTCACATTGTTTAATTTCTCAAATACTTTTTGTATTGATTTTAAATTTTATTTTGTTCAATTCAGAGAATGTAGTTTTACTTTAATTAAGTATACAGAGTCTTGTTTTACGGCATAGTATATAATCTATTCTGAAGAAGTTTTCCTGTGCCCTTGGGAAGAATGCATATTTTGAAGATAGTGGGTGGAGAAACAAATATAGATGTGTTAACACCAGTTGCTTTGTTGTTGTTTAAGTCTTCTATTTCCTTGTTGACCCTTGTCTATTTTTTTAATTCATTATTGAAAAGTAAGATATTCAAATATCCAACTTTCATTGTTGGTTTGTGTATTTCTCCACTCAATTCTCTTAGTTTTTTTCCATGTATATTGGAGTTCAGTTATTAGGTGCACGAAGTGAGGCTTTGTAGAATATGATGATTTTCTTAGGGCACTGCAAAAAGTTCTTCCAGTAAAAATACTACCTTAAGACTTGTCAACCTAAAATAATCAAAAGGGTCTGAATCAAGTTTAAAGAAAATGTATTCAAGTGCAAAGTATAAGGGTGGCCAACCCAGAAAAATCAACTCCAAAGGAATATAGTAAGTGTTTTGAAGTAAGACAGTGAAGGATTTATTTATATAGTCAGGGACAGAGAACTGTTCAGCAGTTTTAGAATTTTTAGAAATTTTTAGGAAAATGTCATTTAGAAAATGACATTTTTTTCATGCAAAATTGGTGCATAATTACAAAAATTTGATTATAAGCAGTTTTCCTTTTTGGGAAGGATATGTTTACTATTTTTTGTAGGTGTTATAATAGTCATGGCTTTTCTGTCATCTGGTCTAAGCAGAGCAGGAAAACACAAGGGAAGTTAATTTTTAACAAGGTTCATTACTTAAGAAGGCAAGAGGTTTTTGTCCCTGACGTTTAATTCTCTGCAGTCACTGTACAGAAAAAGAAAAACAAGAAAGTGAGTTCGTCTATCATCTGAGAAACGGAAATCGCAACCATATGTGACTCAGATCGCTGTTGTCTCTCTCTCAAGGCTTAAAGTAGTTTTAGTGTTCTAACAGCTTTTAAGTTTTATTTACTTTCAAAAACTAGAAAATCTACAACATTTTACAGATGCATACTTCTCTAATCCCACTTTATACCCCTCATCTTTATGGACCGCAGTCCTTACCGGACCCTAAATTCAGCTGGATTGAGTGATTTTTCATCTGCTGAACACATCATCATTCACTCTACTGCCATTGAGTTCCCAGCTATTTTCTTCTCTGGAATTTCTTTTTCTCTACATAGCTATACTTTTTCGAATCCACCCTGCAGTCGTCTGTGTGAATCTTTTGTCTTTTGATTTCCCAAATCTCAAAATATCTGCTATTTCCAGGGATAAGTAGCTATTTGAGAAATATTTGTGACCAAAAAATGCACTTGTGAGAAATGAGTATTTGGATAAAGAAGTCTTTTTTCTGGGTGTTTATAGAGATCTCAATTCATACATTGTTTAGTTTAACTCATCTAAAATTTTCTCAAGAAATGTAACTTCTGTTTGTTGACATGTAATATTGAAACAGTGCTGTTAATGAGAAGAGCACTGGCTATAAAATCAACATTCACAGCTCAGAATAAAAGTCCTGTCACTATCCATATTTCAGAAAACTTACTAGTTTCTTAATTGAAGAGGTTTCACTTTTCCATCTAAAATGGGGATTATGACTACATATCAATGTTTTATTGTTGGTATTGTTATTATTGATATATTTGTGGTTATGTTTTGTTATCTGTTTACTTTTTAGGATTAAATGACATATGTAATACAATATCTAGCCCTAAGCAGGTGGTAGATTCAGAATAGTTAGAAACATGAGTCTAAATTTGTGTAAAGTTCACTTTGAAAAATAAAATTGCCCCATATAAGTAAATAATGGTCTTCCTTCTTAGGAAAAAAAAAAACCCTGGAGGACAAATTTTTATGTGTACTGTGATACTCTGACTTCAGAAAACCTGATAGTTGGATCTAATGGATCTAAGTCTTGGAGGAAAGAAAAAAATTTCCATCAATTGACAGGGAGACATTGCTTGTTTCCTGAAAATACATCAGAAACATATTGGGAAGTTTTAAATGCCTCAAGAAAGCAAAAGTATTTTAAAAATCCTATTAGATAGGAGTCTAGAGAAGCTGGGCAATGCACAAGCATTTATCATGACTCAGCTATATGTGAAGACTGCATTACAAATGAGAGATAAAACATGTTACACACAAGCCCACATTTTATTTCATTATCTTGGGCTGATAATGCCCTCTTCCCATCATATGGTGAAAGGCTACACCACTTTTTTTTTTTATCAATTTCAACTGCTTCTTCCATGAAACCTTTCATAATTAAAGATGTGAAGCTTCATCCATGTAAAAGAATGGCTACTGTATTAGGTCTCCTTAAATCAACATTTGAATTTTGTTTTATAGTTATTGTGTTAATCTGTGGAAGAGGAATCTGAAAAACAGGCTGCTTTCTGAATTTCTGTCAGCATTTGGGTAGTTTATGTAAATTATTTTAGGCCTCAGTTTCTAACTTCAACAAAAATGGAGATGATTATTTTTTCACAAATTTCTACCACCAGAATAATTTGGTAAAGAGAAGAACAATATACTCTGAATGTCACTAAAATCATATGCCCCATCAGTGAGAAATTCTCTGGATGAATAAGTGATCTACTATGCTGTGTTTACATAATTCCATTTCAAGAACAAACTTATTACATTTTTGAGTTACCTGTTCAGAACACATTTGGTAAATTATATAGCATAAAAGTTAAATTATGGTCACTGACATCAGATATCTTGCTTTTAATTCCTACTCTGTAGCTGTGTGAACTTTGGCATGTCCTTTTCATTCTGCACCTCAGTTTACTCAGCCATATGTTCAGTGTTTCAACAGCTCCTACCTCATCAGTTTGGTGTTAAGATTTGATATGGTTTGGCTGTTTCCTCAGCAAGATCTCATTTTGAATCATAGTTCCCATAATCCCCATGTGTCTTCGGAGGGGCCCAGTGGGAGGTAATTAAATCATGGGGGCTGTTACCCCCATGCTGCTGTTGTTATAAGTCTACTAAAAAACGGCCGGGCACGGTGGCTCACGCCTGTAATCCCAGCACTTTGGGAGGCCAAGGTAGGCAAATCACGAGGTCAGGAGATCGAAACTATCCTGGCTAACACGATGAAACCCCGTCTCTACTAAAAATAAAAAAAATTAGCTGGGCGTGGTGGCGGGCACCTGTAATCCCCGCTACTCGGGAGGCTGAGGCAGGAGCATGGCATGAACCCGGGAGGCAGAGCTTGCAGTGAGCCAAGATTGCGCCACTGCACTCCAGCCTGGGTGACAGAGCGAGACTCCGTCTCAAAAAAAGTCTACTAAAAAAAATGTAGAAACAACTTTGGAAATGGGTAACAGGAAGAGATTAGAACAGTTTGGAGGGCTCAGAAGAAGTCAGGAAAATGTCTTCCTGATGTTGTTGTGATAGTGAGTGAGTGCTCATGAGATCTGATGGTTTTATAAGGGATTTTTTCCTCTTGGTTCTGCACTTCTCCTTCCTGCTGCCACATGAAGAAGGACATGCTTGCTTCCCATTCCACCATGATTGTAAGTTTCCTGAGGCCTCCCCAGCCATGCTGAACTGTAAGTCAATTAATCTTCTTTCCTTTACACATTAGCCAGTCTTAAGTATGTCTTTATTAGCAGTGTGAGAATGCACTAATACAATATTAAATGAGAAAAAGAAGCAAAGAGAACATAATAGTGCCAGGCCAAATGAAAATATTTATTATCATTATTGTCATCAGTATTTTAACCATTGTTTTAAAAACTATATTAAAAAATACAAATTATGCTTTTTTATATTTATGATCCCTGAAAATCTGAGAACCCAAACTAGGTACCGTTAAACCAACTTGATTCTAAAATTTCAAGTAGCTCTCAGATTCTGTGACTATACGTGACTTAAAGTGAAAAAAAATTACTTATGTCTTCTTCACATCCATACAATCCCTCATATTTTGATTAGGCATAGCTGTCTATATGACAACCATGGTTCAGTAAGAAGATAATCCAAAAATGATAGTCCCAGGATAAGCCAAATAAATACATAAACTCTAGTGATTTTATTTGTTTCTTTTCATCATCTCAGAGCCTAGCTGTGTCCAGCATGTAGTTGGCATCTATAAATATTGATTGATTGAATGAAGTAGCATGGGCCTTCGGAGATCTAGGAAGAATGACATAAGTTGCTTAAGGTTTCTCCAAATGAACTAGTATTTACATGACTCCGGCACTTGTTCTATTGCCTACAACAGGAAGATTGAGATGGGCCACTATGAGCCATGGAAAAAGAGGACTGAGAATAAACCACAGAGATTGCAATGGAAGCAGAGACATCTTAATACTTTCAACACCAGAGGAAGACCAGTGTGTCTTGTAAGAACATCATTAGATTTCAAATTTGCCTGGTTTGGGAAATCTCACTCTGAATTCAGAAACTTAATCTACTCAGATTTGTTATGAGAATTAAATTTGACAATATATATAAAGCCTTTATTGAAAACAGAGATGGCAAGCCCTTCGGGGGCCTGGATAAGAGTTACATGCTTTTAAACTTTTTGTTTTTGTGCTTGTTTTCCATCTATTTATTTTCAGAGCTTAAGCAAGCTCAAAACTTGATAAATGAATGAATCAGTGCATAAATAAATAGATAGAGGTTGGATTGATAAGTACATGAATAAAAAAGTGTTTGAAATAATGAGGGCTATTCAAAGATTTTTAAAAAATCATGTCACAGTGCAGAGAGAAGGTTTGATTAGAATAAGATTCCAGAAGCCTTTTGACTTTGCAAAGGCTGAAGAATGAACATGTGTCCTTCTCTCTGTGAATTTTTCCTGGCTTTATTCATTCTGATGCAGGCCTTGTGTCAACTTGGCCAGAGTTCAGGTTACACTTGTCTCCTTTTGCACCCAGCGGGAAACTGCCCTCTCATGATTTCCCTGCTATCAGAAAGCTCCTGCTGTAGCTTACAGATCTAGTGTAATCCAGATCAACATACTCAGGCATGTGGAATGGTTCCAGTGATCGCACAGCCTAGACAAGAATAACAAGTAACCCCTGTGCAGGTGAAAAGCACAATTTCTTTGGAAGCCATAGTGACCTGGCTGTTATCAGATCTTCTCTGCTTGCTGATCTTCTACCTATAATTGAATGTTGATCTCTTCCCATGAAGCCTTTTGAGGATTTCTTAAAAGTAATGTGTTAACCTTTTATGTGTGTGTGAATGTCATACTTTCAATACATATTTACTAGAATATGTTGTTTCCTGGGCCCATGTTAACATCTAAATTTAAAGAGTTAAAATTGTAATTCTCCCTGTTCTCTTGGAAATAATAAAAAACATCATACTTAATAATAGAAATAGAAATATAACAATCATTAGTACAGCAGAAGCATAAGCAAAAACTTTACTATTATGACAATGTTTATTTCTTATTATTTATTATTATGACAATGTTTATTTCTTATACTAAAACTAATTGCTATTTGCATATTACATTTTTCAGTTGTATAAAACACTTTCATTTGTTTGCATGTAGGATTCTTACAACAATATAAAAGTTCCTGTAGTCTCTCTATTTTTTTTCATATAAGGAGGTAGTATCAAAGAGGCTCTATGAATTACTCAAAATGACTACTAGCGAATGACAACTAGGTTCAAAACAAGGACTCTTAGTGCAGCGCTGGCTTCAGGGTTCCTTACTTCTCCATAATTTTCACCATTTCGGAGGCTGGGACTGCTCTGCCAAATCATTGCTGCCTTCACTCCAACACCTGACATTGTGTCTCTCAACTATGCAATATATAGAATACTTTGGGCTTTTGGAGTCTATGAGGCCTATTTGGAATCCTGGTAGGTACAATGTGCTTTCCAGGCAGGCAGACTTGTTCTTAAATGACTTGAGGCTCTGGTCCCTTATCTGTAAGATACAGGTAAGAAAGTAAACACACACACACATATATACACATACATATATATGTACATACCTATTGTAGATATATACATACATACATACATAAATTAAGTATCTTTTATATGTATATATCTATGGTAGATATGTATATATGTATAATGTATATATACACATACATATACATTATGTATCATAGATATGTATATGTATATACATATGTATACATATTATATTTTGAAGATCAAATGGCAAAAATACATAAACACTTTGATATAGCTCCTGTGCCAATGGGGAGGGTGCTCTACAAACGTTTGTAGCCTTTATTATCTATGTGTTTCTTTCGTACAAAGTGACGGTAAGCCCTAAACATTGTCACTGTTTTTAAGCTCTGTGATAATAGTTTTCTTCTATGTTGTTTCCACATGAAAGAATAGGAATTTGCATCAACTGACAAGTCCAAGGTCAGAGAGTTGGTTAGCGCTGAAGTTGAAGTCAGGCCTCCTAATAATCACTTCTGTTTCCCAGCCCACTGTCCTTTGACCAAGGCTATAGGAGAGACATCTATCTATTCCAAAACAAGCCTGTATCCTTCACAAGCTTACCTCAAGCCTCGTTGCAAAGCCAGTGGTCCAGAAGTGATTAAATGACTGATGGCAGCAGTTCTTAACTCACAGCTTTTATATTTCTATTTCCTTTCAGCTGACTAGTCTGTGCAACCCGATCCCACGATTGCAAAGGCAGTGACAATTTTTCTCAAAAGCCATTCCTTGAGAACTTTAAAGCTTTCTGTGCTGAATGACATGGCCATCTTCCGGAAACTTGATAGCAAGTTTTCTCCATGCACCCATGTGTATTCATTTGTCCCTTTCATATGTAAGATACTTTGAGAGGAGGGAAGGAGATTGTGTTTTTTTGAGAGATTATTGTTTGCTAGAAAGTACCACAGTATAGAGACATTGTGAAAAGTTCAGTGCCTAATATATAAATGCTGCATTTAGTATGCACTGCTCAGTCTGTTGTCTATCTATTTAAACAAACATGGTCATCGATAAGTGTATACTAAAGAATGCTCTTGACTATTGCCATCCACATTGACACCTGCAATCAGTGCTGACTCAACCGCTTGATATGCTCTTGAAGTGGTTAATAATAGGCATGGCATACCATCATTGTCATTCACGGAATAAGATGGTTTAAGCTCTGCATACATTCAGCACATCTACCCCCACTTACTTACAATGGGTCTGGCATCAGCAACCTTCTGCATCCCTGAATAAACTTCACAGCTGCCTTCAGTGTGTTGTTTTATCCTTTTACACCCCATCCACCCACCAGTGGTACTGCCCAATAGTGCCTAACCACCACTGAATCTTGCTTTGTCAGTTTCACAAACACACAAAAGACTAAATAAGTGGAAAAGTCTTTTGAGTGAGGTTTCCTTCCCTTTTGTTTTCTGCACTCTCACTTTTCTTCTTTTATCTCTACCTTCCCTACCTATCTCCACTTTCTGTGATTTATTATTATTATTACTAGCAGCAGCAGCATTATTATTAGTAGTAGTGGTAACATTGAACTTTGCTCTCTAGTGTTCTTAGCTCTAATCTCAATCTATTACTGTTTGGTTATGTAAACTACTACTTTACCTAAACCAGTATATTTTGCTCTTCAAAATAGGAATGATGCTTATCTTAAAAAAAAACAGTTTTGAAGGATAAATAGAAACATAAATTCTTATTAGGACAGTTTTTGACACACAGTAATATTTCAATAAAAGGAAGCATTATTATTACTGGTGTCATCATTTTTATCTACAACTCAAGTATTCTCCGGAGAAACGTTCTTGCAATTCTGAATTCAAGGCAGTTTGAAGCATCACTGAAATATCTTTGCTGACACTGTATTAGGAAACCTGTTGACAACAGATTTGGAGGTTCAAGATTGAAACATTAAAGAATTAAATTCAAAACAGAAAAAAAAAACTGGCATGATTATGGTGACATATGAATTGTTCCTAAACACAACAAAATATATCCTAGAAAAAAAATCTACCAAAATATTTAGAGACTTCACAAGAGAATTGAGTTGAAGGCATTTGTACTACTTCATATTCCTTATTTTTTCTATGTTAATTTTCTGCAATTTTCATGTATTTTCACTAAATAATGCCATATTATAATTTAAACTAAATTTGATGATGAACGTTACAAAACCAAATAATAAAATAAGATTCCTACTATCAGGCTATTTTATTTTTCTTTTAATTTTTATTTTCAATTAGTCTGAAAGCTATACATTATTACTTAAGATCACCTGTGCACCTCTCTTTTGTCTGTCCCCAGCAAGAAACCTAAAGACCAAAAAATTTAATTTTAAATCTCATTTGAGAGCTTATCCTCTGTCTGACCTTGGGCATGTCACTGCCATCACCTATAAAGCTGCAGGTGTTCTTCAGGTGACATCTTGTCACCAAATGAACCAACCAAATAGACAAAAGCAAAAAGTATTTCTTAGAATCATATCATTAGGGCTAACACATTTCTTGCAGCTCTCTCTATGAGTAATCAAATGGAAGCAAAAGCTGAGACTTTTTTTGATTAATTCAATATAGTAGAAGAAAACCTTGCTACACACTCCTGAGTTTCTAAACTATAACACTCTCTGACATATATAGACACCATTTTAAATTCCGGGGTACATGTGCAGAATGTGCAGGTTTGTTACATAGGTAAACATGTACTATGGTGGTTTGTTGCACCTATTAACCCATCACCTAGCTATTAAGCCCAACAGGCTTTCACTATTTTTTTAAGCCCTCCCTCCCTCCACACCACCCCCTTGAAAGGCCCCAGTGTGTGCTGTTCCCCTCCCTGTCTCCATGAGTACCCATTTTTCAGCTCCCACTTGTAAGTGAAAACATGCAGTGTTTGGTTTTCTGTGTCTGTGTTAGTTTGCCAAGGATAACACTTCCAGCTCCATCCATGTCCCTGAAAATCACATGATCTCATTCCTTTTTATGGCTGCATAGTATTCCATTGTGTATATGCACCACATTTTCTTTATCCAGTCTGTCACTGATGGGCATTTGGGTTGAATCCATTTCTTTGCTATTGTGAATAGTGCTGCAATGAACACATTTGTGCATGTATCTTTATAATAAAATGATTTCTATTCCTTTGGGTATGTACCCAATAATGGGATTACTGCATCAAATGGAATTTCTGGTTCTAGATCTTTGAGGAATTGCCACACTGTCTTCCACAATAATTGAACTAATTTGCATTCCCACCAAAAGTGTAAAAGCATTCCTGTTTCTCCACAACCTCGCCAGCATCTTTTGTTCCTTGGCCTTATAATAATCACCATTCTGACTGGCATGAAATGGTGTCTCATTTTGGTTTTGATTTGCATTTCTCTAATGATCAGTGATGTTGAGCTTTATTTCATGTTTGTAGGCTGCATAAATATCTTCTTTTGAGAAATGTCTGTTGATGTCCTTTGCCCACTTTGTAATGGGGTTGTTTGTTTGTTATTTCTTATAAATTTAAATTTTTTTAGACTCTGGATATTACACTTTTGTCAGATAAATAGATCACAAAATTTTTCTCCCATTCTGTAGGTTGTCTGTTCACTCGAATGATAGTTTATTTTTCTGGGCAGAAGCTTGATAGTTTAATTAGATTCCATTTGTCAATTTTTGCTTTTGTTGCCATTGCTTTTGATGTTTTCATCATGAAATCTTTACCCATATCTACTTCCTGAATCATATTGCCTAGATTTTCTTCTAGGGTTTTTATAGTTTTGGTTTTTACATTTAAGTCCTTAATTCATCTTGAGTCAATTTTTGTATAAGGTGCAGGGAAGGGGTACAGTTTTAACTATCTGCATATGGCTAGCCAGTTATCCCAGCACCATTTATTAAATAGAGAATACTTTCCCCATTGCTTGTTTTTGTCCAGTTTGTCAAAGATCAGATGGTTGTAGATGTGTGGTCTTATTTCTGAGTTCTCTATTCTGTTCTGTTGGTCTATGTGTCTGTTTTTGTACCAGTACCATGCTGTTTTGGTTACTGTAGCCCTGTAGTATAATTTGAAGTTGGGTAGCATGATGCTTCCAGCTTTGTTTTTTTTGCTTGGATTTGTCTTTGCTATATGGGCTTTTGTTGGTTCCCAATGAATTTTAAAATAATTTTTTTTTTCTAATTCTGTGAAGAATGTCAATGGTGTTTCAATGGGAATAGCATTGAATCTACAAATTACCTTACAAATAACTTACAAATAACATATATATTATATATTAGAGCTAAGGTAAAAACTAATGCAAGCAAGAGGAAGGGGAGATTTTAAATGGAAAGGCTAGCGAATGTCTCACTTTGGAGGCAACCCATGAGTAAAGATGAGAATTGCGTGAGAAAGTAAACAGCCAGGAGCTCAGAGGAAGAACATGCCAGCCACCTTTGTGATTGGCAGGGGAAAAGATGCTGAGACAACAAAAATGGTGTTCTGCTGGAGCAGAGTAAACCAGGGAAGGAGAAATGGGTGTCAAGTTGAGAGGCAGCAGAAAGCCTGATGATGTATGGCCTTGGATGCTTTGAAACCATTTTGACATTTTTTAAATATAAAGGAAATGAAAAATCACTCCAGGGTTTTAGCGAAGGGATGGCATGATGTGCTTCTTATTTTAAAGGCTGACTCTGGCTTCTTGTGAAATCATGAAGTTTATCGTCACTATGACTCAATAAATATAAAACCATGAACAAAATTATATAAGGATAAGAACAATTACAAAGTTTATTTCAAAGCAAAATAAAGTAGATTAGATTTACCAATTGTAACATGTATGGTTTTATGATTTTTATTGCATTTGACCACATATTTAATCACATATTTAATACACATTATACAATTGGAAAATAGTTTATAAGCTACATCTAAATATCTTATTTTATTGCAATGATATAATTCATTTACATTTATTGTTATAACACATATTTGATCATTTAGATCTGTACCTTTTGTGTTTTTACACTTACTTTAATGGATACTTGTTTTACATCTTTAACACATGAAAAATGCTTAATTGACTACTTTTATGTTCAATTTCTTTAAAGAGCACACATTATACGAACCATTTCATATTCTTCCAAAGTAGGATGTAAAATGAAAACTATAATCTTTTCTGTTTTCTTAATTGCTTATTTTTGGCTTAAAATGTAAATAGATTATATTTTAATATAGTAGGAACATCTTAAACATGTACAAATATGTTTATAAAAATAACATCTTTATAAATAATTTTATATTTACAACCACAGGCTTTGGAATCACATATAACACAGTGTGAATTCTTGATTTCCTATTTATTAGCTCTCTATCTTAGATATTTTTCTTAATCTCTCTAAGCTTTGGTATTAAGTGTATAATGAAGAAATAATATTCTTATTTTAGGATTGTTTTATTTATTATATTTGGTGAAATTCCTGTAGTATCCCTTAAAAGTGCAGGTAGTAAAATTATCATCTAATCAGATTTATTCAAAAAAACAAAAATATTTAGGCCTAGCTCTACACTTTTAACAAAACTTTTAGTATAAAGTTTCAGGTTTGCAGCATGATCTGTACTGGAGAGCTGTTATACAACATTATGCCTGAGATTCACTTTTTCTAATTTCTTTATGTTGTTTTATTTTTGAACTGGAGAAATCAATTTTGTTTTTGTTTTTCCCCCTCCGCAAAATCAGTACACTAAAAGTAAAAATGATGAACTTTTGCATATTTGAATATATGTTTTAATTATCTTACATCTGAGTGGCAATATGAAATCATAAAGTATTTTATCAACTCAGAAGCATTCCCTTACAAATGCAAAATTCTGAATGCTTTCAGAATTTAGTTTTATTGGGCTGAGTGTGGTGGCTCATGCCTGTATTCCCAGCACTTTGGGAGATTGAAGCAGGTGGATAACCTGAGGTCAGGAGCTTGAGACCAGTCTGGCCAACATGGCGAAACCCCATGTCTACTAAAAATACAGAAATTTGCCGGGCATGGTGGCAGGCACCTGTAATCCCAGCTACTCAGGAGGGAGGCTGAGGCAGGAGAATTGCTTTAACTCTGGCAGTGGAGGTTGCAGTGAGCTGAGATGACACCACTGCATGCCTATCTGGGTAACAGAGCAAGACTCTGCCTTAATAAATAAATAAATAAATAAATAAATAAATAAATAAATAAGTAAATAAATAAATTTTAAAAATAGTTTTATTGAATAGACTGGAGTCAGATTTCTATTTGCTAACAAAGTTTATTTTTATTTATATGTGTAATGGTTAAGCTGCCAGTTTTGTTTGTATCTATATTCCCTATAATAAATGTCACCAGGATGTATTGTGTGTTTTCATCAATAGACTGAGACATTTTGTCTGTTAGTTTTCTCGGTAATTATATCCTGTATCCCTCGGCTCTGAAACTTTCCAATGCTTCTTTAGGGTTATCTATGTGTTTTAAAGCAGTAAATCTCACACCTCAATTAAGCTCATCATTATTAGTTGAATAATACATCAGTTATTAACATAATCATTAAGAAGAGTTAGCAAGTCAAAAAACGAGAGTTTTTTTATTAAAAGAACTAGAGATAAAACCAAAAAATAAGTTTAAATGAGTACATTTAAAATTTTATAACCACAGTGTGGTTAAAAGAATTAAAATAGTTCATACACGTTACTGCAGTGCCAAAGAGTAAGCGCTCAATAAATGTTAATTTCTCTAGAACAAAAGGAATAAAAGAAACAAAAATATCTACTACCACAACCACCAGACCCATATCACTATAGGCAATATTTATTTGGATATCTGAATGCATATGAAGAATGATTGGCTCAGCATTGCTTTGTGATCCCATTTTCTTTGCTTGTGTTCAATTTTCTCCTGGTTTATGTTAATCTTCAATGTTCTTATTACCTAAAGACTCCTGCTTTTATTTTCCAGGTTTTAAGTATTCATTATTTCATCTTCAGGATTTGCCTTTACCCAGTGAAAATTCAATCCTAGAATTCTGGCTTCGAGCCCACGTCTTAACTGCTAGGATATAGTATTATAATTAAATACTAGTTAACATAGACAAGGATTACTAAATTCTCATGTTTGTAGTTGCCAGCGTGTTAAACAGTTAAAATTAGTTAAGTGGAAGAAGTGATAAATCAAATATCATTTGATTCCATTTATATGAAATATCTAGAACAGCAAAACATAGAGATGAAAAGATTAGTGGTTGTCCAAGGCTGGGGGTATGGGGTGGAGTGGTATAAGGGGGTGATGGTTAAGGAATATGGGGTTGCTTTTTGGAATAATGAAAATGTTCTATAATTGTTTGTGATCATAGAAACACAACTGTGAATATTCTAAGAGCCATTGACTCACACACTCCGAAAGGGTAATGTGTATGGTATGTGAATTAGAGCCAAATAAAGCTGTTCACATTTGTGCACAGCATTTGAAGCAAAAATTATATATACACATTACAGAATTTTAGAGAGAAAAAATTCCAGTAATCTTATAAAAGCTTGAAACTAACAAATTATAAGTAAAATTATCATTAAAATTAAATAATAAGGCAAAAAGTCTAGTATATATTTAATTTCAGTAACTCAAAACAGATTAAATTCCCTTGTTAAAACTCGAAATTTTCAGAAAAGCTTTAAAAAATCTAGCTATATTTTATTTGACATAGATATTAACAAAAAAACTTCACAAGACATTTGAATAGATGAAGAAATATTCTAGACAAATATTAAGCTAAATAAATTAACTATAACAATGGTATTATTATACTAATATAAATGAATACAGAAAGTATTAAGACAAGTCTATTATTTAATGATAAGTGGAAAAATCCATCCAGAGTATGTAATAGCTGCAAACTTTTATGCACTTCATTTTTTCTTGGGAAAGACAAAAAATAAATCAAAGTAATAAAATCAGGATAATAATTCTGATCAGATACTTATCATCATTATAATGAGATCCTAACCCCTAAACATTCCAGGAGAAAACAGTGGGATTGGTGAGCTTGAGGGACTTTATATAGTGTGTACTTGGAAGGCCTCTGATGAACTGCAATTAAGCTGAGATCCTAAAGAAATGTTGGGAGGGAACATAGCGATATCTAGTTCATAAACATTGGAACAAGTGCCCTGAGGAAGAAAAGAGCTGCTATGTTAAAGAGTGAAAGATAAGGTCGGTGTGGCTAGAGAAGAAGACATAATAAGGGGATCGATGAGACACGTGGTCAGAGCCAAGAGCAGGTCATGAAGGGCATTGTAGGCAAACAGTGTAAGAAATTTGAATATCATGCTATTTTCTGTGGTAAGTCATGAGAGCATGTTAAGTAGGATTTTAAGTATGCCATGATTAACTTGGAGTTCAGAAAAATCATAGTGGTTTACAAATATCGCGGATTGCAGGAGTAGTTTTAGCACAAGGATTTGGAGACAAATGCAAGAGATAACAGTGGCAGCCCTTCGGGATGGTTGCTAGGTAGGGAGATAATGGTAGGAGGCGGGATTCAGCACATACTGTGAAGATAGTGTCTATGGAATTTATTGATGTTTTGGTCATGACAAAGAGAGAAGTCAGAGGAGATTTTTCAGCCAATGTACTGTGTTCGGTCTCTGTCATGGGTATTGGGTGCTGATGAGAATTCCTCACTTGGCTCTGCAGAAGAGCACACTGAGCCTTGTCTTTTGCTTGAACTCCATGCATATCAAGCTTGTGTCCAGGGTCGCCCTGCTTAACATGGCATGGACTGCCAACTTCACTCTCTCATTTCTTTTCAATATCAGTCAACAGGAATATATGTAGACATACAGTTATTCTTGCCTGGTCTTCATCTGCTATGGTTTTCCTTTGGGAATCCTCCTCCCTAGAGAAGCAATGCAGCATCACGGATCTACACAGTCCTAGGCTTCGGGTCCTTATTGTAAAGTCCTCGTTTAATGAGAGAGCAATCCTGTAGGTTAATGAAGAGCATCGGCTATCTCTTAGAGGTAGACCGTGAGAAACAAGAAACTCCTCTGTTTACTGTGATATGAATCCTATGACTTTAGGGTATTGTAAGAGACTGAGGAAAGTGTTTACCTACCTTCCTCTAGTGTTACAGATTATTTCTATGCAGATATAAGATATGGTTACATACATGCATTTAATTATCCTTGATTCTGGCCATCAGTATTCTGTGCATTTCCTTTCATTTTTTAATGAAATATGCTTTCATTTTTAATCTCATGCATGTATTATATTGAGAAAATGAGAAATACTGAGTCAAAATCGGCACTGAGGTTTCTGTGGGAAAAAAAATCACACACACAGAAAAAGTTGATATTCAAAAAGTGGTATTCAACAATGAGCCTTATGTAGCATCTAAAATAAAGGCTGGCCTGATACAAAACAAACACAAAAAATAATTATTTGTTTCAATAAATGGTTTGGAGTCTGCTAAAATTATTATCTGCATTCATTATGAATCAACATACTAGCCAAATTTGGAAAGGACAACGAAGTTTAAAATACATTGCATTTCTTGATTTTTAATTAAAAATAATTATTCATTCGGTGCAGAGACAGACAAATACACAACCTATTTTTAATTAAGACCAACTCAAATGCATTTTTGTAAAAGTGGACTGGCTTTGGAAAAAGGACTGAATTTTAAATAGACAAACTAAATGAAACAGACTATTACTCTTCTGGTGATAAAATATAAAGTTTACTATAAGGAAACACATTTTTAAAAATATGTTTTTTTAGACTTCCATGGATATTTTGATTTGTAAATACTCTTTCCACAAGGAATATCTGATATTTGATATCTTGCTAGATTTTATGTTTTATTTGATGCAATCTTCTCTGTATCTTATCAGATTCTTACAACAATCTTGTGAATTACGTTAGAAATTCTATTTGTCTTCTTTAATGTAAAACTGATTGGTCCAAAGTTAACATAGCATGTGAGTGGCAGAGCCAGGATATTAATACTGTAACCCTGTTGGTTTCCCCCCCCTCTAATTTCTTTACACTTGGCATGATACAATAGCATAGGATGTACTCTGGATTTTTCAGGACATTGCCACTGTTCCCACTTGAATTATTCAATCATATGCATACTTGAAGTCACATTTTAAGTTGGAAACTGTGGTAATTATAATAAACTATTAACTCCATGGTTTTTTCAAAATCATAAATAACTACAAAGTTTCCTGCAATATTGAGCAATCAAAGATAGAGGGAACTCCGTTCTAAAACAAGAAAAATAGGGGAACTTATAAACAAATGTCATCCATCTTAGTTGATCATTGGCTTCTCATGTTTTACTTGGAGAAATGTTCTCTCTACATAATTCCTCAGAAAAGACTAAAATTTAACGTACCAGCAACTGGATGAGATAAGCTGTAAGCTTTGAGTAATCACCCTGTCGCCTAGCTCCTCGATTCTAGAAGGCTGGAAATATTAACAAAAATTTGATTTACACATCAAAGTTCTTGTTTGAAATAGTTTAATATTTCATTCTATTAATTCAAAAATATTAATATTTATAATAATCTGCTTTATCTTGAAATCCAGTACATTGTGTTCCAAGGACATTATAATTTGTATTTTAACATGCTCTGTGAAGGACACAGATTAAATTCCTGATGTGTGGCATTAAACATTATAAAAGTGGCCTATATTTCTGCGAAAGAAGAATCCTCAGTTACGATTTTATTAAAAGAATAGAAATTTACAAATGCAAATCTAATATCTGGAAAGACATGGAGTAAATGCATAGGATGTGGCTCCAAGTGAGCATTAGGTATAAAAACAGGCCACCTTTTGAACCTGTGCATGAAAAGCAAGGACTCTTACTGCTCATCCATTCTGTGGAGGGGAAGAGGAGGCCTAGTAATTGAGAGTGTAAGACCTCATGAGGCTTTGCAAAGTGGGGAGCCATTAGGAACAATGACTTGACATCAGTCTCTTGCTCTTTGTGACAATAACTCTCTGAATATCTCCACCAGGTCATCCCAGAATACTTACACTTCAGTATCTGTTTGGTTTCCTCCACTTACTTCTCTTGGAGATTCTCAGTATAGACAAAAAGTATTTGTCCATTTTTTAGGAGCTCAAAAGATATTTTTTGAATGTATGGCATCTGAGTGAGCAGATCAAACGTGCTAAGATCTTTTTAAGAGTAAAACTACTTTAAATATCCATTTCATCTCTATCACTGAATAGTAATCGAGAACACTATGAATTTAACCTTTCTGCACCTCAGTTTTCTCACCTGCCATGATTAAGGTAATAATAACTCACTCAGGGACTTATTCTAATTTTGAAAACATTGTCATTTACAAAAGTCCCTAGATCAGTGCCTGGAATATGTAAGATACACAATATGTATGAATTTCTCTTTTTCTTTCAAAGGACTACTGGAGCCAGTCCAGGCTCTGAGGGTATGAGGGTGGCAGAGAGAGTGAACCCAAAAAGTGAGGAGGAGATGGTGAAGCAAGCTCTGAGGGCAACTTGACTGCCTGCAGTTAAACCTGCAGTGTCTCTAGGCAGGAACTGATTGTGCCACGGCGAATCAGTGAAGAAGCTGTTTGAGTAAGAAAAATCTTGGGTTATAAAACTCAAACTTGAAAATCAGAGAATGCCAATTAACCCCTGGACTTCTGGTGATCATGGTCTATGGTAAATAATGTTATTAAACAAGACTGGAATAGCGTATTGATTTCACATTTTGAGAGGCCTTGGATGAATTATACAATTGTTTAATTTTATGTGGTCAATAATAGGGAACTGATGATATTTCTAAAAAGCACTGTGAAACAACTTGATAATGCAAAGGTTGATTTCATTTCAGTGTGGAAGTGATAAATTAGGGGTTGGAAAGATTAGAGTCAGGGAGGCCAATGATGACAATTGTTTAAAAAGATCAATCTCCCTACAAAATAACCTCTTCCTGAAATCACATCCCTGTCTAATATATGCAACACAAATCTCTTTTCTCTTGAACATAGTTTTGATTTGTAATTTAGATTAACTTGGAAAAAACATTGTGAACCCAACTAGTGACTGTATATTGCATGTCACTTCCTTGAGGATTTTCTTTATCTTTAAAAAAAAATTTCCCAGAATAGCTACCATATCTTGCAGTTATTCAAGTTATTTTTTCCTGATAACTTTTATCTTCCTTTGCCTATTGAGCTCATTTTATTTAATAAGTTATTGTTTGAAGTGTTATTTATTGAGCACTTCCCAAGTGGTAAGTACACTACTAAACATTTTGCATACATTACCACATTTAATCCTCACAACAAATCTCTGGGTACTGCTTCCCTGTTGGAGACAAGGATGCCAATACTGAAATGTTTAGTTAACTTAGCCAAGGTCAAAGAGATTCTACAAGCCATTGGCTAAAGGGTAAAACTCATATTCTGTGGAGAACAAAAATCTGTAGTATCTTCCTTCTTGAAGCCTGGCCTAACTCAGAAAAATAAAGAAAATTACCTTTGAAATCAGAAAGATTCAAGTTTGAATATGTGCGCTCTCTCTCTCTCTCTCTCTCTCTCTCTCACACACACACACACACACACAGTTTCTATCTATAAGATCATTTACCTAAACTATTGGCGCCCTTATTAGTAAAATGAAACGAATAGTATCTGCCTAAGAAAGCTCAGGTTGAACTTGACCTAAAATAGCATTTGTAGAACAACCAGCTGGATTGTTCAAAAATGGCAAGTTCCCTTCTCAGCTCTATACCTCCTTTTGCGCAAAATCCATCGTATTTTAGTGATTAGTTAACACTTCTTCTCTGGTCTGGTCAACTGTTCATACCGAGATGGCAAGAAAGTTTTCCCATTAATCCTTGTGTTCCCAGTCCTAATTCAATGCCTGGAATTTAGGAGCTTGGCAGTCATTTAATGAACCCTTAAGTAAGTAGGCAAAGGCATAAATCACTTCTCTTCAATCACTTCTCCTAAGTCACTTCTGCTTCAATCACTTCTCCTAAAGTCTGTTGGAAATAATAAGGCATCCAGTGTAGAAGTTTACAGAAGAGCCCTAATGTGTGTGTGTGTGTGTGTGTGTGTATGCACATGGGTGTGGCAAAGAGACCATGGGGAAACTATCTCCAGCCATGCTCTAATGTGATGCATAAACCAAATTAAAGAAAATGTAAATAGAAATTAGACCTGTGGAAAACAGAAAGAATGGAATATGATAACCAAGAGGACTAGTGAAGCACCAAATTAGTCTCTACACCTCCTGGTTACCGTGGCAAAGAGTAAAACACAGTAAGCAACGTAATTCTGATTAGCAGGAAGAAAGACGCCTACTTAAATTTTTCCTGGCATCTAATTATAAAAACATGTGATAAAAGGGGCTGTCAGAGGTTGAGCTCAGAGGAACATAACCTGTAGAGAAGTAAAGGCTCAGAGCATCACAGAACATCTGTGAGAACCACTGTATACCAAGTGCAGCCCTCTCTAATCCCCACATTAAACTTGTTTCTGGCACATGAAACATTTACCACATCCACCTCTTACTCACATGCACTTTCTATGGCATGGGATCCACTTAGATATTTTTTCCTTTCCTGTATTAACTTGGCAAGGGATTCGACCATGCCTGACCAGTGCTTCCAACTCAAATACCTAGCATTCCTGCCCTGCTCAGATTCTCTTAGTCCTTCTCTCGCCTGACTCAAGCACCTGGCTTCCTTCTTCTACCAGGAGAGTCTTCTCACATTTCCTGTTCGTAGACTGAAAATACTTGCTGGGTTTATTTGTTCCTATAGGTGCATCCTCTGCAAGACTGAAGATAGTGAGACAAAACCCTCATCCTCATATTCAGCTCTATGTACCCAAAACTCAACATAGTGCCTGTCACAGAGCAGGTGCTCAGGAAATGTAGAGAATGTTAAACTGGGGAGTGTCATCTTGTTAAATGGCTGAAATAGTGCAGGACCTCATAAAGGAGACATAGTACTATCTAATGGACAATATACTTCAGAATGAGTCATGATTTCGCTATCAAAGGATGAATGTAAACTTAGACTTCAACGAGCACATTAGTCCCAGTTCAAAAAAGGAAATTGCTCTGCTTCATGCTGCTAAAGAATAAACTTCAGTTCCTTAGCCCTGCAGTTAAATCCCTGCATGAGAATATTAATTTAAAGCCATGATCTCAATGGTATCCATATTTTAAGAATCACACTCCCGTATCCATAAAAGAATAGTTGGGCATGGATCACTAATATATGTATAACTATTTAATATTTACATACCAGAATCACCTTATTAATGTAGTTCCTGTGCCTTAATATGTTTTGTACCTAAAACATATTAATATGTTTTGTACCTAAAACATATTAATATGTTTTGTACCTAAAACATATTAATATGTTTTGTACCTAAAACATATTAATATGTTTTGTACCTAAAACATATTAATATGTTTTGTACTCTGTTTTGTCTCCTTTCACATTGTGTCTGTTCCAGCATCCACAACTCTAGACATAACAGATTGATTGCTAAGAAATTTTTATTCCTTTTTGTTTTTATACCATCTGTTCACACAGCCTTGAAAGATCTTTAGTATTTTTTTTTGTCCAGTATCTTGAAGACATTTAAAATGTCACCTCCTATGTGAAGACTTCCTTCATCTTTTGTTTTAATTAATAAGTCCTCTGGGCTTTCACAAGCATTTTGCTTAGTTTACATTCTTATTTCAATATGCTTGATTTGTTTGTCCTACTAGATTTAAAACTCTTAAACTGTTAGAGACAAAGACCAAGATTTTAAAAGAAAAAAGCTTCCTGGCTTCTTTGTGAGCTCAAATACACACACACACACACACACACACTCACACATACACACACGCTATACACACATTCACAAAAATATGTACATATATATGGTGATATATATTATATATACACATAATATATATAAACACACATATATATTATACAAACACATGAGTGAAGGGTATATTACGTATTATGTATACAATATATATTATATATAATGTATTATGTATATTATATATTATATATAATGTATATAATATACAACATATGAGCTTTCAAAGTTGAGCAGGCTGTCAGGGGAGCATCTCTCCAACTTTATGCTTCAACTGTATGCTTCAAACTTTGGACATTTAACTCACATCCATGCACACATAAATTTTGTAGCTAGCCACCGATAAAATAGGACACTATGTGGCCCAATAGGGCTCCAGCTTAAGACAAGATATGACATAAATATAATATACATTATATTATATATACATTATATACATTATATTATATAATATATACATTATATAATGTATATATGTATATATACATTATATAATGTATATATGTATATATACATATATATAATGTATATATGTATATATACATTATATATAATGTATATATGTATATATACATTATATATAATGTATACATTATATGTATATATACATATATACATTATGTTTAGGTCATTAATATATTATATATTATATACATTATATTTATGTCATACCTTGTCTTATATTATATATTATATATATTATATACATAATACATACACATACACACATATTTACACATAAAATAGATATACACATAGCTGCGCATATACACATGTATGTGCATACACATGTACCCATATAGGCATGTGCATGTGCACATATGTATTCATGTGGATATACACACACATATGCACACATAGATACTTATGAACACATATATTTAGTAACATCAAAGATGGTTTTGCAAATCTAGTAACACCTAATTTTCTATAGTTTGCAAGTGTTGTCAGATATATTATCTCATTTACTCAATTTGGATTAATATAATATATATTATTATATATATTAGGCCTTTCACCGATGTGTTTGTATAATATATAAATATATAATATATATGATGTAATATATGATATATCATATAATATATAAATATATAATATGTAATACATTATAACATTTATATATAATATATTATTACATATATTAAATATTATTACATATATTATATATTATAATATAGTTTTCTATGTAATATATAATAATGTATATAATACCCTTCACCCATGTGTATCTTTGAGTTTCCAATGTTACACTATCATAATTTCCAACCTAAATTCAATAGTAAATAATGCTCTTTTCTTCTGCAGTCTCTTGCATTGATGTAATTTTTGGTATATATATGCACTGAAACTATTTATTTAAAACTATTGGAGTGAAAGCTATGGTGTGTTTTCACATTATCTTGTTTGCTATTTACAGCAATCTTTTAAAGAAGTTGGAAGAGGTGAGAAACTCCATCTGATAAGAAAACAGAATCTTTAAGAAGTGGACTTGCTGATGGTCACAGGGCTAGCGAAAGGTGAGCCTGGTATAAACAACATTTAGTGGCATAAAATGTAGTTGTCCTGTGTGTGAAAGTTCTGTAGGGAAGTAGCTAAAGTGGGATATTTATTATCAATAAAAACAATGCAGCCTCCCAATGGAGATATATTCATCCATTGTTAAATTTTGGTCTTGAATAAACCATAAGCTGTGTTTAAATGACTGATGAAGATATTTTCTATGGCTAATTTTATGAGACTTAAGTAAGTTAGTGGTCCTGAGCTCTAAGAAAAATTGCAAATATGTTCTCTTTTCCTCACATTAATTATGAGAAGCAGTTGGCTTAAACTTAGAATAAATAATTGGACTGTGGTCTGAGATACTCTACTAACCTATTGTGTTATGTAAGGTAAATTACCGGACCTTTCTGCAATTGAGTTCCCTTGCTTGTTAAAAATGGAAAGTTGGAGAGGTGCTCCCCTGACAGCCTGTTCAACTTTGAAAGCTCATATAATTCCATTATTACATTCAGCTAATGAAGTATGTGTGTTAGCTGAGAAGTGACTTCTTTTTCTTCAAAATGACTCATTTTTCCCAATAAATGATTTATCCAATCCATTTCCTAGGAAGAATATTTATTTTAGTCTGATGATGTACAGTATGCATTTTACCAGTAATACAAGTTTCAGTGGTTAATGAGCCATGACTATGTCTAAGCATGATATATCTTCATCTTCCCTCAACTTCAATGGAAGAGCACCTTGCTGTAATAGACTTAAAAAGGAGGCTGCCCACCACTTTTCCTTTCAAGGAAAGTTTCTTAAGCCTCAAATTCTAATGGGATTTGGCTCAAAATCAGAGGTATTTGTAATTGTATGTGTCACTTTTGACTCATGTAGCTGATTCCAATATGAAACTGAGATTACGAAACCCTATTCCTACTTATGATAAATGATGAGAAACACTGTATGCTTCAAACTTTGGACCTTTAACTCACATCCATGCACACACAAATTTTGTAGCTAGCCACCCATAAAATAGGACACTATGTGGCCCAATAGGGCTCCAGCTTAAGACAAGACATGACATAAATAATCTTTCTCTAGCCTGGTTTTTTTTTTTTTTTTAACTGTTTCCTTCTCCATCTCTCTTATGATCGCTCTCTTTTTGGATAATGCTTTCCTTCTTTGCACCCAGTGACATATTTGACTTTTCTGGCACGATTATATGTCTTCATCCTAGAACAGATTTGTTTTCCTGTTCACTCCTTACAGCCTGTAATTGAAGTTGCCCTTGGCACTGGTCAGCTTGGCTAGCTTCATGCTAGCCATCATTCCATTATCATGGAATAAATCATAGGGATTTATTCCATATCCCTATGAAAGAGGATTTGGTGACTACAACACCAAGGGAGCTTAATCCAAATTGTCTGAGTAAATGAGATAATGTATCTGACAACACTTGAAAACTATAGAAAATTAGGTAAATGTTACCATATTTGCAAACCACCTTTGATGTTACTAAATATATGTATATATGTGTTCATAAGTATATATGTGTGCATATGTGTGTGTATATCCACATGAATACATATGTGCAACATGCACATGCATATATGGGTACATGTGTATGCACATATATGTGTATATGCCCAGCTATGTATATATCTATTTTTATGTGTAAATATGTGTGTATGTGTATGTATTAGGCATGCATTTGTATGTGTATGCTCTATGTATGTATTATATATGCATATTTGTATCTGTATATGCTATATCTGTATGTATTATGTGTGCACGTGTTTGTATGTGTTAGTTATATGTGTATGCCATAAATTTAAGTCAGATTGTTGGAGCTGTCCTTGCTGAACAGTATCTACTGCCCTGTTTAACCTTATTCTTGACTAACATTAGCACAGCTCTATTCCATTTTTGATTTCCTGTCTCAGCTTATTTCTTTCTTTAGAGCTGCAACTACCTGATTCCTTCACTGAGACATGACCGTTTCCTGCTTTCTAAGGTAAGCCTTGATAGAGGGCATGAAGGCTTTTTAAAGCACTCTGGTCTCATGCGCTGGGAGAGACCATTTGATGCCACTCATAACACTTGATTAGCTCCGTGCCCCATTTAGATTACCTGACTTTTGCCTTGTTACTGCATATGTACAAATCTTTAACTCAGTTCTCCCTAACATCAGAATATTCCCTTTGCTATCCCAACCCCTGCCTTTGGCTAGAGTCTAGCCCCTGTACAAGAACCATGCTTCTAGCAACTGCCTGCATTGCCCTGGGTATTATCAACTCAGGGTTTCCCAATTGATCTCCACCTACCTGTTGGAACACTGCATTGTTTAATGTTCAACTTTTTTGATACTGACAGTCATTTGTGATTTAACCCTTCAGATAGCAGTGACAAAAAAAGTGACTACGATTACTTTTGCACCAAAGCACAAATTTGTTTGCCCCCAGTGGATATATTTTAAGACTTTTTGCAAACAGCAAACAATAGCAAGAAAGGTGAAAATGTTGTTTGATATGATTTTCTTCTAACCCACAACCACACATAAGTGAGAAGATATCACTGTTGAGATCATTGTCATTCTTGGGTTAATCAAAAGAGTAAAAGAATTTAAAAATTGCGTAGGACGCAAAAATAGAAATTGCTTCAGGTATGGGTTAAAGATGTAAATTGTGTATTTACTTGAATATGTAAATAAGGGTGAAAATGTAATAATTTTGTATTTCTGTTTTTCTAGAAATGTCCACATTGTATCTTGGATATTTCTTTAGTCACCTTATTCTGCTACTTAACATACTTCCTTTTAGCCTTACCTGCTAAAGCCTGCAAACTGCAAGGGGTTGCCCTGCCTTAGAAAATCAGAGCAGATCCTCAGATATGACTGTTTACTTTTACTTTCAACAGTTTAGATGTGTTAAGCACAAGTGGCAACCAAGACGTTTCCTAAACCTGAAATTCCCCTGTGCTCTTCAGCAAAATCAGAAAAATAATGAACTCTTAATAACAAAAATGAGATATGAAACACAAAGATTCTGCATTGAAATGAAAGTCTGAAAACCTTACAAAATAATTTAAAATGTTTCGAAAAACAAGCATGCAATTCCAACATTATAATATTGTGAAAAGTATATTAACACCAGAATTTAAAGGGGTGCTTCTCCTTTGCATCTGAATTATTTGGCTAACCCAAGGCAATCCACAGAACCCCTCCAAACTTCAGTTGCCTCAACTAGACATTTGGAATTATCATAGATACCTTTTCTCCAGATAGGGGCTGTCTCAGCCAATCTTGTATACTTTCATATCTGATTATGCAATTTCTACCTAATCCTTGTAGGAAGAGCAAAAGCTGAAATAGAAAGATTAGAATAGTTGTTTTCTATAGAAATGCAAGTCAAACTCTGATATGCTCAATTAAGATGCACATATGCACATCTTTCTCATTGCCACAATCTGGGCACACTTAGCCGTAAGGCATATTGGAATCCAACCAAGCGCATTAGAAATAGAGAAGTAAATACAGGAAGTACAGAACCTGGTTTTTTCTCTATTTCACATTCAGGCTCCTCTTTAATATCTCATGTACTCACTTAGCCAATCTTCTCTTGTCCCCAACTCATCAACCCCAAACCCACTACATCCACGTGTTGTCATTTATTCTTGAGAAATAAAAATAAAATCCTAAGCCTCCCAAACAGAAGAAGAGACCCCCTCTTGGCCAAGGGGGACCCACAGAGAAGGTCTGACGTGCCTTGCTATACCAACTTCTTCACTAACCACCGTTGGACATTTTATCCTAAGGGTTAAACAGAAAGTAGTTTTTTTTGTTTTTGTTTTTGTTTAAGTTTTTCCATTCCCCCTTCCTTTTTTGTGGTTTCGACAAACATCTGTCAGCATTACTTTCTGATAAAAGACCATGAGCTGTGGACTAGTTCTGGCTGGTTTAAAGGGGCTGCACACATGGTGCCTCTGTATCCTCTGCTTCACCTTTTGACATATAAAACATAATTTTAATGCATTTAAATGTTAAGTCTCCAACCCAGAGTGAATATGGGACACATGTAATATCACTGTTGGTTTACTATGCACGTGTGCCCCTGCTTTGTGAATATCGTAGCTCCTCCTGTAAGCTGTGGAATATGTACACTTAGCCAACACATTCTATGTAAATTCCTGTCTCATCTTTTCTTTTTCAAAGTGCTTTCAGTTTCTACCAGAGGCTATGCCTCCCAGCCTGCAGGTTGGCCAGCTTGTAGGACACAACTTCTTGTAAGAAATAAAACTCTCCACTCCAAATTCATAAACCACCTGATTCTTCAGTTGACATTATTAATTCCCTGAACACAAAGTTTCTTTGCCTGGCTAAATTTTACACATTCGGGGGGTAGGTTGCCTTCTCTATATGGTCTCATAACAATATATATCTACCTCTACAATGTCCCTTAATCTATATTATTATATTCACTGGCATTTTGTTTTATCTCTATTAGTAAAATGTAAGCTGCTTATGGGCATAGCATATGTCCTGTTCACTATCTTAAGTGCCTTATACAGTAATATACCACTATGCTTTCATTGTTCCTGCCTAAACTTATGTTGAAGTTTGATCCCCAATTTGGTGGTGTTGGGAGATGGGGCCTAATGCGAGGTGTTGGAATTATGGGGGCAGATTTATCTTAAATAGATTAATGCTCTCCTGAGGGTTTCTCTCTTTTCCTTGCTCTCTCACCATGTGATTTCTTTGCACATGCCAACTCTCCTTCCACTTTCCACCATGAGTTCTTCCATTTTCTGCCATGAGTTGAATAATCCTGAGGACCTCGCTAGATGCAGATGCCCAATTTTGAACTTTCCAGCTACCAGAATTGTAAGCCAATAATCTTTTTTTATTAGACTACCCAGTGATGTGTATTCTGTTATAACAATACTTAATGGACTAAGACATACACACAGTAGGTATTAAATAGCTAACTTTTGACTGAATTAATGAACACACACACAGACAGACACACAGACTCAAACACATAGTTCACATGCAATATGCAAAGAAATTATAGAAGTTATAACCAGCTTTGCCTGGAATTCCTTCACTTGTTAGAAAATCATGAGGTCATATGAATCATCTTAATTTATGAACAGCTATAAATACAACAACTTTTATTTTTATGCTGGAAGCAAATATACCTCCCAGTAGCATTGACAAAATAGTTACAGTTCTAATATCTGGAGTCACACATGCAATGACTAGATCTTAGTCTTCAGGATAACAATGAACAAGTGTAACTACATAACCCTTTGTAATGTAAAAAATGTCTTTTACATATTATTATTTAATTACCCCAACAATTTTATGTGATAGACTTTATTCATATCAATATTATCAGTCAGGATCTAATGGGGTGATAGAAATCATGCCAGTTATTTTAAAAGAGAAAAAATATATATAATTATTGTTAACCAGGTTTTGAATATTTGGAATGAAAAAAAACAGGAGCAAAAATAAAAAGTTGAAATTATTAAAACTTAGAAACTCAGAGGAGGAAGGTCATAGATCTGGGAATGAGACAGCTGGTGAGGTATACTGGCCAGCTAGTGCTGGTATCTCTAAGGGTAGGTAATGTGGCTTGTTTCATGAGTGTTAGAAACACTGCAAATTTGAATAAACTGCTCACCTCTTCATGAAGAACCATTGCACCAGTGACACTCACAAGCACAAGAAGCAAAAACAGGCATATAGAGCAAACAGGAAGGGATACACCTCCATTTTCTCCCCTTTCTTTTGGTCTTCCTCCAGAAGTCTCTATTGGCAGATGATTAAAAAGAAGCCAATTTTCAAAACAGAAGTTTAGTTGAGCAAGTCATAGCCCCAGCACCACAAAGCAGAGTATAAAATGATGAGTCTGCTGTCCAGAGACAACATGATAATCACTGGCACACAAATATGGTGTTTCAGACCATTGGAGATCAGAGAGGTTCACCCCAAATTTTGCAATAAACTTGCAATCAGCAATGTACAACATAGACTTAGAGTTCCATATTTTTTCTACACACAGAGTGCAAAATAATTAGAACATTCCTTATTCACCCTCACATCAAGGAAAGTGTGGTGTGTGTGTGTCTGTGTGTGAGCAAACTATGGTTTGTATTTGCTGACAGTATCTAACACTGACTAACAAAGAGAAGTCTAGAAAGTTCCATTACCTTTCTAAGCCTCAATTTCGGCATCTGCAGATGCACATAATGGGTTTACTATTGAGTAAGATTGTTTAGTGAATAAATATTGAGTATCCACAATATGTAGGACACTGTGCTATGTGCTATGAATAAAATGATAAAAAGAACAATCAAGGCCACCCTCTCCAGAGGTTAGAATCTTGTAGGTGCAGCAGGCATTAATTAACCACTCAAAGGACATGGAATAAATAGAGTATGTGACTGCAACTGAGATAATTGCTGTGGTGGAAAATCCTAGGCAAAAAGAATCATGCAGAGCAAAGGAAACTGATTTGTTGGGAGGTCAAGGAAAACTTCCTGGGGAAGGAAAGTTTGAAGTAAAATCGGTAGAGTAAGTATGAGGTGCCTAGATGAAAGGGTTGGGGAAAATGCAGGGGGGTGGGGGTGGGAGACTTCCATGTGGAAGGAGCAGCAAAATTCCTGTGGAAGAGAAAAAATGGCTCATTCAAGGACCTGAAAGAGGAACCATGGGGCTGGGGTCATGCCTTGGGAGCAAGTGAGTGATAAAGAGAGGAGAATGGTACAAGAGGAGCCTGGAGAGAGAAGCAGCAGTCAGAACCTTGAGTTAATAAAGGTGAGAGCTTTGTAAACTGCTAAGTGCTAATAAAATGTCTATATGATTATGGCTCCTGGGATAAAAAATACTGGAATTTTTACTCTTTGCCATTTAGAAAGTGGGTTACTGGAACCAGAAGGAAAGATTGAAACTGATATCAGAATTATGAAAATTTTCAAAATCCATGTGTATCTCCCCCAAATCAAAGTTGCTTCCCACCCTGTGCATTAAGGGAGCCAAGGCTGCGCAGAGGGAAAAGAACACCAACACCTTACTGTATATGTACTTTCATCAGTATTTAAAATGTAATAATATTGTGAGCTTAAAAGATTTGATTGCTTGATCACAGCAGCTTGTTAATTAAAGGTGCAAAGAGGAGAATGATTAGAGAGGGGAAGTTTGCACCTGAGGGAGAAATAGGATTAGTCTGCCTGAGAAATCAGATTAGCGTTCCTGGCAGCAGGCCAATTGCAAAGAAAGAGTACAGAAGCTGCAGAGAAATGAAATCTGTGTCTTTCCAAGCCCTCCGTGGGAGGACAGGCCTCCCCTCTACATGTCCAAAAGCAGGAAAAAACAAAGTCTTGCAGACAGCTCACCCCTGACATTGACTTGCTTCCCCAATATTAAATGTGTGTCTTGCTAATTGCTCTTGGTGGAGATAACTGTGTTTGGAATTTATTTGGCTCTGAAGTATGTGAGGTTGTGGAATCGCTGACATCACATGATTAATGAGGAAGGTTGGTTTCCACATCCTCTGTTGCAGAGATTGGAGCCTCATCTCATCGTTAGGGCCCCCTGGGTCTGCCTCACATCACAGTGGCCTGTGTTTCATTAAACGGAGCAGCTTGGTTTCCAGAGGGGTGATTAGGAGAGAGATGAAAAGGTGGGACAGCCTGGGAAGTCCGGAGTGCAATGATAAAATATAACGTGTGTACAATAGCCAAGAGGCAGTGTGGTAAAATGAAAAAGTGGGGCTTGGAAGCCAAACACGCCTGAGTTAGAACCTTGCCTTCTACAGGTAGAAGTCCTGTGACCTTGGGCAAATTAGCTTAACCTCTTTGAGCCTCAGATTGCCTATTGTAAAATGAGAATCATAAAACCTACCTTGAGGGGTCTCTAGAGAATTTTTAGAAAAAAAAGGGCAAGCCATTCCTGGTGTGGTGCTCTTGTTCAATAAGAAAAAGCTGTTGTTATCATAACAAAGTGTTTTCCCACATAGTCTTTAACCCTGCCTGAGACTGGCCCAGAAATCCCAGTCACGAAGGAATTTATAATCCTTGTTGAAATACTCTAACCACACAGTGGGCATTCTGCCACCAGTGTGTTCAGTAGGGCCACCTCCCAGAAAGACAGGGGACAGTCTCGGTTTCAGCTTTGGTGATTTCATTCAATATTCCGTTATCTCAGCCGTCAGTTGACACCCTCTGGACTCAGTCATTCACCTCCTAAGTCAATCCCCACTCCCCACACCGGTACCCAGCTTACCGCTCAGGCGTGGTGCATACTACTTGGCCCAGCGTGGCTCTTCAGCAAATGCAGTCGGCACATACACATTTTTTATACCATTTGCCCATGACCTTGTTCTTTTTTCTCCCTACACAGAATATTGGATCAAGAGCATACCTTGCCTTCCTTTCCCAGTTACTTCACTGTTAATGTTCTTATAACTCTCAGAAAGTCACACACAGATTCTGTGAAGAAGGTACAATTGTCTATTTTTGCCTTTCTCAATTCATTGTCAGAAAAAGCTGAAGCTCAGCCATGGCAAATCGCTTTCCTATGGCCAATGAGCTTATAAATAGTGATTGAGAGTTAAGTTTCAATACCTGAAACTACTTTAATGTGATGATTCCAGGATGCCTATACCATGGACTCCAAAAAGACTAATGCCACTGCTCACATCTTCATTGATCTGCTATCATTCATTCATTCAGTAATTCAGGCCAATAGTTAATTTGATTTCTTCTTTTCTCTTGTTCCTTACACCTGAACCATAAACCAACTTTGTCATTTCTACCTTCCCAATTGTGTGTATCCCAAAGTCAAACCCTTTTTATCACTTCCATCTCTACCTGGTCCCCATCACCTGCCACCTGGCTATAGCATTAACCAGTTAAGGGCCTAATGCCTCCCACTCCCACATGGCCCCTTATTGTCTATTCTGCAGAGTACACAAGGAAATTTGATGTTGCCAAATGTCTTAGTCCATTCTCCCACTGCCATAAAGAAATACCTGAGACTGGGTAAGTTATAAAATAAAGAGGTGTACTTGGCTCACGGTTCCACAAGTTGAACGGAAAGCATGGCTGGGGAGGCCTCAGGAAACTTACAATCGTGGTAGAAGGCAAAGGGTCGACAGGTACCTCTTACAAGCCTGGAGCAGGAGAAAGAGAGAGGGAGAAAGAAATGCTACACACTTTTAAACAACCAGGTCTTATGATAACTCTATCACTAGAACAGCAAAGGGAAATCCACCCCCATGATCCAATCACCTCTCACCATACCCCACTTCCAACACTGGGATTACACCTTGACTTGAGATTTGGGTGAAGACACAGATCCAAACTATATTACTAAATATTTGCCCAGAAGACTCAGTGGCTTCTTATGGTACTTGGAATAAACCCCAAAGTTCATATCACAGTCTATAAATGCTTCTATGATCTGGCCCCTGCCTCCCTTTCTCTCCACCTTCACATGGCCTTTCTTGCTGGCTCTACCCAAGCCTTATACTGGCCGCCTTGCTGTTCTATAAGCATTTTGTCTCTTTTAGTCATCACTGTATCTGTACTACTTACAGCATTGGCTGATGAGAAGTGCTCAATAACTCAATAAATCTTGTATTAGTACATTTGTAAAATAATATTAAAATGAATAAAGTAAGATTTCTGCCCATCAATTTTCAAGGAATTTACAGTCAGGTGGCGCAAGTAGGATACAACAAATTAAAATACAGCAATGTACACCGTGATACTATCTATAGAGGTTACCAGATGAAGGGCATAGAGCCCATGGTGGTCAAAAGAAAACCCTGGAGTGTGACACATGAGTCACAACTGCAATATTTACTACATGTTCAAGCTTTGGCAAGATGGTAAACCTCTGAGTAACTATATTTTGTAATCAGAAAATAAAATAGTACTTTCATTATTGCGTGGTTTAGAGGATTAAATTAGTTAATGAAGCACTAAGAACAGTGACTGTCACATAGTGAATACTTGATAGAATTAACTAGAAGTACTAGTTGCAGTGGGAGAAGTAAAATTATTATTATCCTCAAAGCATATGCCAGGGAACAGGGTCTGAGATTTCATAAAAATGAGTTTAAAGGTTTTGATCATCACTAACATCAGGTGCTCTCATAGCCTATGTCTGCCAACCGGGCCAGAGTATATGACAAAGAAAGCTGCTAAAAGACCCACATATTCATAGCCCATTGGACATCTGTTTCCCACATGCAGTGCTTCCTGTTTTGCAGGCTTCAGGCTGGTTGCCAGAGTTAGGGCAGCCTGGGGCGGTGGAGGAGTGGGGGGCTGTCCCAGGAAATGCAACTCTATAAGGGCAAAGCTTGATAAGAGAGTGAAAAAAGCCTCCATCCCCCTTTCTGACCCACCTTTCTCTCTAGCCACCCATACGATTCCTACATGTAAGAATCCAAACAGAAAGTGAATGCACAGGGTCAGTTTCTTTACATTAACTAGTGAAAATGACCCTGCCAACCTTGCAGGGTGATTATGAGAATCTCACTAAAGCTTGCTAACTCTAATGTTTTAAAAACGAGGCTGCTGTGGAGGAGGATGAGTGTCTGTTATGGAGAAATCATGAAAAGTAGTGCTGTGTAATAAATAATTTGATTGGCTCTTTTCCCTGTTTTCTCAAAGGGAGACTAAATCCTTGGAATTTCCTGAGTAATAAGAGCTGTTTTGTTATTCATGAGTACTGTGAGCCACACCTGAATTTATGATAAGAGGATGAATCAGGATAAGAACCTACCATTAAAAAGACTAACCATGCCATTAGAGGATTAGGGATTTGACCCAGTCTAACTGCCATAGAGGGTAGGACAACTGGAGAATTAGTTCAATTGTATGACAGGTTATACAACCAAGTATGCCTATTTAATGAAACCCCAATAAAACTCTGGATACTAAGACTTAGTGGAGCTTCTTGGCTGGTGAACACATTGATATGCTAGCAGGGTGATGCAAACTAATTCCATGGGGAGAGGGCACAGAAGCTCTGTATTCAGGACCCTCTCAGACCCCACTCTATATACCTCTTCATTTGGTTCATCCTGATTTGTATCCTTTACAGTAATCTAATCATAAGTATAGCACTTTCCATTCTAGTGGGTTACTGTACCAGTGTGAACACCCTGGATTTATGTTTCGTTGTCCTGATGATCCTACTTGTGGTTCACATGTAAAGTGGGGGCAGTCTCATTGGGGACTGCGCCTTTATACCTGTAAATATGAGGCTAACTCAGGGTAGCTAGCATCCAAATTCAATTCCAATACACAAGTTAGTATCAGAGTAAGTTGGAAGAGCACCGCTTTCAAGGTAGTCTACACTGGCCAAAACCTGTATACTTGTTTGCTGTGTGGACTTGCACCAATTATTTACCCTATCTGAGTCTCAGTTCTACAACTGGTCAGCCTGGAATAATGATGCCTACTTGCTGAGCTGTGGGCCATAGGAAAGAACATAAGGTAACAAACATAAAGTACTATACACAGTGCACTGAGTATAATAAATGCTTAATAAATGTTACTTTTGGTTATGACCATTGGATCTATCACACTGTATTACTCCAAGTTTCCATCACTGTGCTTACATCTTTGTGGCTACGTAAGAGATCAGTTGAGGGCCTAAGACATTAGGCAGTTTGCCATTGGGGCACAGAGCCCATCACTGCTGTTGCTAGTGGTGGCCTTTAATATAAATGGGTCAATGGGAAGATACACAGAGTTAAGACAGAAACAGTGGCAGACACAGTTTGGCTTTGGCCTTGGTGTTTTCTGTGAGGCAGGGTCAGCAGCATCCTCTCGTCTCTTCTACAGTAGCTTGCTCTGGCATCAGAAAACAAGCAAAACAAAAGGAGACAAAATGTTCTTTTTATTTTTTTTTTGTACACTCAATAGTTTTAACAAAGTTAAACTTCTTTTATCTTCATCTCTTCATGTGGCGAGTTGATGCAAAGACTTGATGCAACGATGTATTGCAAAAGGGCTTAGATTAAATGTGAAACCAGATCAGTTTCAATAACAATGTCAGTTATTATTATTGTAGGCTGATGCAGTGACCTGAATTTTTATTCTATAATCAGATACTAAAAGTCCAGATTAGTGGACAATGAGGTACTAAGACCCAGTTGGTGGGAAGACACCATTCCCCATTTCACTGCCCTTAGCACAGTTTCTGGCACATTGCAGGAACTGAATAAAAATTATGAATTGTTAATATATTTTAATCTTGCAAATGCACAGCTCAAATAGACTGCATAAATACCCACAATGATACCCTGAAAATAATACAATTTATTCTGTTTCTACGGGCCTTGAGAGGTTTTATGTTAGTACTGACAATTATAATATAAATCATATTTATCTGTCACATTATGAGCTATTAACAACATTTCTTGGAAGAAAATGAAAACTTCAGAAAATATGAATAAGCCTGCTTTCCATTTTTTCAGATTGACAGCAGGAATTTTACGCCTGGTTCTGTTCATTCATCTTGGGCTTATTACATTTATTTCCTAAGGGAAAGAGACCTAAAAAATATCAGGTTTCCTCAATACTATACTTTCCTACATTTCTTATGAGTCCAGTGAGAAACTAACTGGGGAAAGATCTCTTATTGGAAACAAGGTAATATGTACCTTTAATACTGCTTCATGGGAAAAAAATATACAAGCATTATTCATTCAGTCTCCTTCCAAGTGACATGCGCTGAGAGATAAGACTAAATGTAGATTTGTATGATGATAATAATAATTATTATACTGTTTTTCTGTCATCGTTGTGTTATACTAACAGAATAGGGGCAATCGTCCGTCTTATGTTAAAAGAAAACACAAAATGGAAGAGCAGAAAGAAAGAAGGACTTGGAGAATAAAAACTTGGCCTAAGGCCCTGATATTTTAACTCTTTTAGTCAATATTGAATAATCTATACAATAGGTAACTATGATAGACAAATAGTTTAAATACAACCATTATGGAAAGCAATATGGGGGTTCCTCAGAAAACTAAAAATAGAACTACTTTCTAATCCTGCAGTCCTACTGGGTATGTATCCAAAGGAAGTAAAATTAACATGTTTAAGAGGGTTCTGGACTCCCCTGTTCATTATTCCATATTCACAATAGCTAAGATATGGCAGCAACCTCAATGTTCACCATTAGATGAATGAATAAACAAAATGTGATGTATTGACACAATGGAATACTATTCAGCTTTAAAACGACAGGGGGGATCCTGTTATTTGTGACATCATAGATCAACCTGGAGGACGTTGTACTAAGTGAAATAAGACAGTCACAGAAAGACAAATACCACATGATCTCACTTTTCTGTGGAATTTTAAAGAGTTGAGCTCATAGAAGTACAGAGTAAAATACTCGTTACTAGAGGCTGCATGAGACAGGTGGAAGGAGAAAAGGGAGATGTTGATCCAAGGGTACAAAGGTTTAGTTAAACAGGAGAAATAAGTTTTATCTATCTGTTTCACAGAATAGTGACTATGACAAATAATGCATTGTATATGTCTAATTGCCAAAAGAGTCGATTTTAAATGTTTTACCACAAAAGAATGTATGAGGTGATCAATTTATTAATCACACTGATGTAACCATTCCACATTGTAAGTATATATTAAAGTATTGCATTGTGTCTCATAAACATATATAATTGTTATCTGTCAATTACAATTTAAATTTAAAAAATAAAAATAAATACATAAGTTTATATATGCGAAAATACGTTTTTTGAACCAAAGTAACCTGTATTACTAATGCACCAGTGGGTGGGAATGATTTCCCCAGCATCTCATAGGTTCATAAGATTGTTATTTCTTATTGACTCCTTTAGCACTACGTAATGTCTCCTTTTTTTTGTTTTATCATTTTCCTTCTTCAAAAACATGGTTTGTGTGAAATTAATATAGCTACTATAGCTTTATTTTGATTAATGTTAGCCTGGTATATCTTTATTCTTCTCTTTACTTTTAATCAATCTGTGTGTTTGTAGTTAAAGTGGGATTCTTTTAGACAACATATTGGTGTCATTTGTTTATTTCATCTACTCTGACAATGCCTGTTTTTAATCAATATCATTTCCAAATAAAATGAGTATTGATATAATTGGATTAATATCTTCTATATTTGTAATGTTTTCCATTTATTAAATGTGTATTTTGGCCCTCCCCTTTTTCTGATTTCTATGATTTTGATTGAGCATTTCTTACCATTTAGTTTTATCTTAGCATAGATAAGCCATACTACTTAAAAAATGTTAGGTGTTACCCTGAAGTTTTCAATGTACATATTTTACTAATTTAATTTTACCATCAAATAACACTGTACCACTTCACATTAGTGAAGTGCCATGAAAGAGAACAGTTTCAGTGCCTCCCTCCCATATCTTATGACGCTGCTACCATTTATTTTACTTACCTGTATGCTGAAATCACCCAATGCAATCATGTTATTATTACTTTAAAAAAAGTATCTTTTAGTTATATTTATTGGACAAATTAAATACTTTGTGCCTTCATTTTTTAATTTTAAGTCAATGTATACTTCTTTTTTAATTTTTGTGGATACATAGTAGATGTATATATTAGTGAAATACATGAGAAATTTTGATATAGGCATACAATGCATAATTACCACATCAGGGTAAATGGCATACCCATCACCTGAAGCATTTATCCTTTCTTTATGTTACAAAAAAAAATCCAATTACACTGTTTAAGTTGTTTAAAATTTATAATAAATTATTGTTTACTCTAGTCACCCTGTTGTACTGCCCAATACTATATCTTATTCATTCTACTTTCTTTTGTACCCATTTACCAACCCAGCCTCTGGTAACCATTCTTCTGCCCTCTATCTCCGTAAGTATAATTGTTTTAATTTTTAGCTCCCATAAATAAGTGAGAACATGCAATGATTGCTTTTCTGTGCCTGGCTTATGTTGCTTCACACAGTGATCCCCAGTTCCATCTGTGTTGTTGCAAATGGCAGGACCTTATTCTCTTTTATGGCTCAGATGGAGATGGGGAACTTGTTGGGAACTGGAGCAAAGGTCACTCTTGCTATGCAAAGAGACTGGTGGCATTTTGCCCCTGTCCTAGAGATCTGTGGAACTTTGAACTTGAGAGAGATAACGTAGGGTATGTGGCAGAAGAAATTTCTAAGCAGCAAAGTGTTCAAGAGGAAGCAGAGCATAAATGTTTGAAAAATGTATAGCCTAACAATGCAGTAGAAAAGAAAAATCCATTTTCTGGGGAGAAATTTAAGCTGCCCACAGAAATTTGCACAAGTAATGAGGAGCCAATGTTAATCACCAAGACAACAGGCAAAATGTCTCCAGGGCATATCAGAGATCTTCAAGGCAGCTTCTCCCATCATAGGCCCAGAGGCCTAGGAGAAAGAAAATAGTTTTGTGGGCAAGGCCCAAGGACTCTCTGCTGTGTGTAGCCTAGGGACTTGGTGCCCTGCATCCCAGCTGCTCCAGCCATGGCTAAAATGGGCCAGGATACAGCTTAGTCCTGGCTTCAGAGGGTGTAAGACCCAAGCCTTGGCAACTTCCATGTGGTGTTGAGCCTCAGGGTGCACAGAAATCAAGAATTGACATTTGGGAACCTCTGCCTAGATTTCAGAGGATGTATAAAATGCCTGAACGTCCAGGCAGAGGTTTGCTGCAGGTGCAGGGCCCTCAGGGAGAACCTTGGCTAGGCCAGTGCAGAAGGAAAATGTTGGGTTGGAGCTACCACACAAAGTTCCCACTGGGGCACTTCCTAGTGGAGCTGTGAGAAGAGGGCCACCATCCTTCAGACCTCAGAATGGTAGATTCACCAACAGCTTGCACTATGCACCTGAAAAAGCTGCAGACACTCAATGCCAGCCCATGAAAACAGCCGGGAGGGAGGCTTGACCCTGCAAAGTCACAGGGTGGAGCTGCCCAAGGCTATGGGAGCCCACCTCTTGCATCGGAGTGACCTGGATGTGAGACATGGAGTCAAAGGAGATTATTTTGGAGCTTTAAGATTTGACTGCCCTGCTACATGTCAGACTTGCATGGGGCCTGTCTTTAAGTTTACTAATTCTTTGTTCTTCTTGATACATTTTGCTGGTAAGAGACTCTGATGTATTCTTCAGTATATCAATTGCATATTTCAACTCATGAGTTTCTGCTGGATTCTTTTCAATTATTTCAATCTCTTTGTTAAATGTGTCTGATAAAATTCTGAATTCCTTATTTAGTTCATTTGGTGAAGTCATATTTTCCTGGATGATCTTGAAGCCTGTGGATGTTTGCAAGGTTCTGGGCATTGAAAAGTTAAGCGTGAATTGTAGTCTTCACAGTCTGGCCTTGTTTGTACCCATCCTTCTTGGGAAGGGTTTCCAGGTATTTCAATGGACTTGGGTGTTGTAATCTAAAAATTTTTGGTTTATGAAGTCATATCTGCATTAGGAGGCACCCCAAGCCCAGTGATGCTGTAGCTCTTACAGACATGTAGAGATCCTACTTTAGTGATCTTTTATAACAGCCGAAAGAATACTCTGAATTAGCATGCAGTGATTTGCTCTCTTATTTCACTTTCTTCCAAACAAATAAAATCTCTCTTTCTGTGCTGAACTGGCTGGAGCTAGGGCAAGAGTGACATAACCACACCTGTGTCCACCACCACAGGGATTATGCTGGGTCGGACCTGAAGCCAGCACAGTACTGGGTCTCACTCAAGGCCCACAGTAACCACTTCCTGGCTACCACCTATGTTCGCCCAAGACGCTAGTGCTCTACAATCAGCAGGTGGCAAAGTCAGGCAGGCTTTTATCCTTCCCTTCTGGTGGTTGAGTTCTCCTTGGCGCCAGTTAAGTCCATAGATGATATCCTGGAACCACTGCCTACCTAGAGATGGAAATCTTAGAAATCTAGCTAGTAGGCTATTCTGTTGCAGCTAAGCTGGCATGAAGCCACAAGACAAAGTCTTTTCCACTCTTCCCTCCCTTTCCACAAGCAGAGGAGTCTCTTTTTATGGCCATTACCACCCCATGCCTATGGAAAGTACTGCCTGGCTACCACTGATGTTGACTCAACATCCAAGGGCTTTTCAGTCAGGTTGTGGTGAATGCTGCCAGGCCTAAGACTCTTCCTTAAGGCCAGGGGACTTTCTTTCAGCCAAGGCAGGTCCAGAAATGCCATCCAAGAACCAAAGCCTGGAAGTAGGGATGCCAACAGCCCACTTGGTGGTCTACTCAATATGTCCAAGCTGATACCTAAGTTGTAAGACAAAGTCCCCTTTACTCTTCCCTCTCCTTTTCTCAAGCCTAAGGAGTTTCTCCCTGTAACCACTATATCTGGGAATTTGCTGAGTCACACCTAAAGCCGTATAGTCTCTGAGTGTCACCCAGGGCCCACGGCAAGTATTGCCTGGGTGTTTCTGCTGATTATTCAGGGGACAAGCGCTCTTTAATCAGCAGATAATGAATACTGCCATGATTGTGTCTTTCTCCTTAAAGTAGTAGGTTCCCTTCTAGCCCAGGATGTTTCTAGAAATGTCATCTTGGAGCTGGGGCCTGGAATGCAGGCCTCTTGACTCTATCTGGTGCCCTAGCCAAGCTGGTATCCAAGTTGCAAGACAAAGTCTTCTTTACTATATCCTCTCCTTTCCTCAAGAAAAGGAAAGCAGTATCTCCCAGATCTGTGAGCTGCTCTGCCTAAGGTTGGGAAAGGGGTGGTGCAGGCACTCCTGTGGTCACTCAAGCTGATGTCTCATAGGGTCACATGCCCTCCATGTTCACTGGCTTTAAGCCCAGCATAGCACCAGAACTTGCTCAAGAATTGCAGTTCTTGTGGCCAAGGCTGCCTTTCAAATTTACTTAGAACCTTAGAGGACTTTAGCCTGTGGTGGCAAGGCTTGCCGGAACTCAAGTTTCAGCTGCTGAGTTGAGTGGTTTCCCTCTTGCTAGGGCTGGTCTAAATACTTCTCAATGGGTACCAGCTGAGTTCTGCTGCTGTGGCTTTCCACTGTGACAGGGCAGCACTGAGTTCCAATACAAAGTCCACCCATCACCATGTTCTTTCTTTCTGAAGCTCACAGATTCTCTTTCTACACCACATACTTGCTGCTGGGGAATGAGGGCTGCAAATAAAGACTTTCCTTCCTATCACTTCAGTGCTTCTTTCTGTGATATGACGTTAAATCTAGGTCCTGTGATTACAAACCTGATTTTTGGTTCCTATGAAGGTGCTTTTCTTGTGTGGATAATGGTTCAATTTGGTGTGCCTGAGTGGAGGGTGATCAGTGAAGGCTTCTATTCAGCCATCTTGCTCTGCCTGCAGAGCAAGCTCCTATCTTTATTTTTTTCTTTCTCTGATACTCTTCCTTTATACAGATTTGTGTTTCTGACCTACATAATTTTCCTTTTCCTCGAAGAACTTTTTCTTCTTTCTTGAAGAGAAGATCTTTCAGCAACGAATTCTCTTAAAATTGTCCACAAAAGTCTTTATTTCTCATTCACTTTTCACTAATTTTACTGAATGTAAAATTATAGATTGCTGGGTTTTTCTTTTTCTAACAACAATATAAATATTTAATGAAGTGTCTTTTTGCTTGCATCATTTGTGAAAACAAGCCCTCTGTAATTCTAATTCTTGTTCCTCTACAGGTAAGTTGTGCCTCCACTGTAACCCCTGGATTCCCCTGGTTCCTTTCAATTGTACTCTTTGTCTTTGCTTTTTTTATTGAGATGGAGTCTCGTTCTGCCACCCAGTCTAGAGTGCAGTGGTACCATCTCGGCTAACTTCAACCTCTGCCTCCCAAGTTCAAGCAATTCTCCTGCCTTAGCCTCCAGAGTAGCTGGGATTATACGCATTTGCTACCAGGCCCAACTAATTTTTTTTTGTATTTTTAGTAGAAATGAGGTTTCATCATGTTGGCCAGGCTGGTCTTAAAGTCCTGACCTCAAGTGATTTGTCCACCTCAGCCTCCCAAAGTGCTGGGATTACAGGCATGAGCCATCATGCCTGGTTGCCTTTGCTTTTCTGCAGTTTGAATATAATATACCGTGGTATAATTTTTTTGCTATCTCTGCTGCTTGGTATTCTCTCAGTTCTCTCAATCTCTCTCTCTCTCTCTCTCTCTCTCTGTGTGTGTGTATGTGTGTGCATGTGTGTATGTGTGTGTGTGAATGTGTGTGTGTTTTACATTTTCAAATGTTCTTGGTCATCTTTGCTTCAAACATTTATTCTGTTCACTATCTTCGTCAGGCATTTCAATTAGACATATGTTATACCTTTTAAAATTTCCACACAGTTCTTGGATGTTCTGTTCTGTTTTGTGTTATGTTTTCTTTCTTACCGTTTGCCTTTTAATTTGGTGGTTTCTACCAACCTGTTTCAAGTTTACTAAGTCTTTCTTTGGTGATGTTCAGTCTACAGATGAACGCATTGAAAACATTCTTCACTTATGATACAGTGGGTTTTTTTTATTTCTAACATTTTCTTTTAATTATTTCTTAATTTTTAAATTTCTGCTAACATTACCAAACTGTTACTTTATGTTGTCTACCTTTACTGATAAGCCTTAGCACACTAATTAGAGTTGTTTTTAATATTCTGTCTGATAATTCCAACATCTGTGTCAGATCGAAGTTTGGTTCTGACAATTGCTTTGTCACTTCATACATGTTATTGTTTTTCTTGTCATTTGGCATGACTTTTGACTTTTTATTGAAAGCAAACATGACATACCAGCTATTAGGAACCAAAGTTAATTGGCCCTTAGTGTGAGGATTTATGGCTAAGAATTGAACTATGTTTAATTTTTATTTTATTTGAGGTATTAGAGCCTTCTAATTCCTCTAGTGTTCTTGTTTTTGTCTCTCTTCTTGATGTTGGGTTTCCCTAAATACTTTTCCTCAGAGAGTGTGTGTCTTGAAGCTCTTTCAGCTGGTTTATCCCCTGTGAATATACTGAAGTCCTATTGGTGTGGTGGTAAACTGGAGAGAAGAAGGGTTCTATAATCTTTTGATTAACTAATTGTTTTAGTAAGCCAATTTTCCTGGCCTGTGACCTTTACACATGTTTCTTAACTTTTGTTTTCATCCTGATATGAGATAGGATGTCTTGAGGGATCTGGAGCAGGAGACATGCTCTATGTTTAGGTGAGATAAGGTTTTGGTAAAGTTTTATAACCTAGAAATGGGCGTTTGTTATGGATAATACTCTGGACAATTCCCAAGAATTGGCCTTCGTCTGCCCATCCTAGAGTCACAAGCGAGTTTGTTTGGCTTCTTCACTATGAGAACCTGGCTGCATTCCTGTTGTCAGAACTTACAAAAGTGTGGTGATCTTCCTGAGTCAGTAACCCTCAATAATTTCTCATTGTCACAATTGTCTAAACTTGGACATCAGCAATTCTTCAAAATTACTATTTAAGTGTTTTTTTAAACAGCTTATGGCTCCAGCATCTTCTGTTCTAGGTAAGCAAATCTCAGGTATCCCTCTTTAAATTTACCTGTCTATATGCATTCCAGGGTGGCGGTTTGTCATGCAACCCCAGTTCTCTGATAAGTCCAGCAAAAGTTGTTTAATATCAGTTTTTCAGTTTTTTCTTTTAAGAATATGAATAATGAATTCCAAGCTCTTAACATGTTGAAATTGTGCAGTATATGAATTACATCTCAATAAGACTATTCTTGAAACAAACTAACAAACAAATATGATGAACAGAAAACAGTTACAAATATGGTGGATCATTCTAATTATATCAATAATCTTAAATGATAACAGTTGTTGTTTTCATTATGTTTATTAATTTTTTAACAAGTATTTCATGGCAGTCATACTGATTTTCCATTCACAGTGATAAGATGAAGTTTATACTCTTTTAATAAAAAACACTTAACTAAGATGTCAGTAAAGTAAGGAGGAATATAATTTAGGTAGCATCATAAAGACTGTGCATACATTACTAAGTTTGGGACACCCTAATTCACATCAAAGCAGCCTCCTCCCGTTAGACTGGCCTTGAAATATGGCCATTCTGGAACATTTCCCATAATCCTGTCCACTTAGAACAGCTACTCAGAAACCAGGACAGTCCAGTTGGAATATATAGCCTCCTCTGAGCTGACAAGGCAGTTCCATAATTCATCCAGTGTTAGAGCACTGTTGTCTCATTCCTGCCAAAGTTGCCAGGGCTTCCTGTGGCAACTAGGCCTGGAGGTTGCTTCTGGGGACATGAAAGCATAGGTTAATAAGACTGAGGCTTCCTTTGCTTTTCCCCATCAAAGTTCCCCAGTCTCATGCCTGAAGGTTGAAGCCATCAGCAGGAGCATAATTTCCAAAGCTTGACTTTAAAGTCCCAGTGCTAGATAGGAATGTCTTAGTGCACTAAAATCTCACCAGTAATTTCTCAGAACAGAAGATACTTTTTGGCGTTTTGAATATTGTGTTCTGCCACATACAAAGTGGGAAATAATGTAGGGTGCAGTAAGAGGTATGAGTCTAACAAGCTGAGATATGTTTATGTAGAACTTTATATTTTGTTAATGAGAAATGTGATATTAAATTTGGCAGTCTTTGTTTTACATTAATAAAAACTGAAGTACTTAGAAACTGATCATATTAGAAATATGGATGTCAAAGGTGTAGCATTCCAGGAGAGCATGATGTTCAGACAATATCACTACATTGAAGGAATTCCACAATTAGGAACTGAACAAGGCCGTGGTAGGACTGGGTAAGTAATTTCTCCCAGGATGCATCAATTCAAGGGCCTGGGAGAATTGTGCACTGAGCCCCGATCTAAGTCTGAGGAAATTTTGGTTGTAATGGGAGTGTCAAACCTGAAGACCTGGGACCGGTGGAGAAATTGCTGACTGAAGAAGCTTGGTTGCGACTCAATGGGTTGCATCTGGGCAGCTGGATGAAGGAGGAGCTGCAAAGAGTTGAAGAGTGGCAGGCAATGACAAGCAACAGGTCATGTGGGGAATTTCTATGGTAGTGTATTGCAGGCTCTGGAAATACAAGGTTTAAAATCCAGCAGGAAAGCACAGATCTGAATCTTGGTTTTACCTTCTTACAGGGGTCTAAAGTTAAACACTCCCAGAAAGGGAAACTAAGTCAATGTCACTGAAGTTACTGGGCATGTTGGCTTTCACTACCAGTTTTTGTTTGTTTGTTTGTTTGTTTCCATGAGACCTTCATTCATGGGAGCTAGACCCCACCCAAGTCTGCTTTACCCAAACCTCTATCCCTCTTGTGAGTCACTTTCTCAAAATCTCCTATGTCTAAATGGACCTTGAGTTTTATGACTTAGAGCAGAAGTCAGACAAGAGGGGCCCACCTGAAAAAGACAGCTATTCTCCAGCTCTGTTGCCCCTACCTTTAACCTCTGTCACCTTTACTGTAAGGAGAAAAATATGATATTCCGGTTATCCTCAGACCCAAACACATTTTTCAGCACAGTTTACCCAGAAATGCAAACCTTCAAGAATACACATATTTAAAATAAAATTTGACTTTACCTACTCTTATTCTTTGGAATGTTTGCAGGGAAGAAAATAAATTTCCCTAACTCATGAACAATTCCCATCTGTATTTTCTGAATATATTATAAAGGTGAAGATAAGCTACCATTTGCTAAGAATGTACTACATAACATACATAGTTTTCTGTGAATCACATGTATTTTCTCATATAAACTTCGTAACTCTTGAGGCAGATTCAGAGACATGAAGCACCTTGCTCAGTTACACAGCCAGTAAATGATAGAGGCAACAGTGCAACCTACACAGTTTAGCCAGAGACAGGATAATTTCCTTGTGCTGCCTCTCTGTAACCAGAGGCATCGGTTGTTGAAATGCACTACTGTTTGTATTGGAAAGGCTCCCTGTCCATGCTGCCAGAAGAGGACCACTCAATTACACTTCCAGTCCAACTGCCATAAGCTGCTTTGCCATACAAACTGAGGAACAGCCAGGTGCTCAAGAATTACAGAAGGTAGTCATTTCACCAATAGCTTTGACCACCTCCCAACAAAGCATTTATCTTCCTCTCCTCAAGTGCCAAATGTACACCCCATTTATTTTTTGTAACTTGTCTCCACATTATTGCTTCCCGAGCAGAGAGACAGGACAGAGGCTCACATTTGTGCAAATAACAGATGTGTAAGGAATCCCAGCATATCTTGGGATCTACAAGTAACCCTGCATTACTGGAGCAAAGAGTAATGCTTGTTTGATTATTAAATTATTTTAACATTATCTTGACTTCACCACCACCTGCTGAATAAAAGCTCCACGAGATTAGGCACCTTGTCTACGTATTTAGGGCTACGCTCTGCCCACCCTGCTTTCTGACCTAGAATAAAGCTTGCTACATAAAAAGTGTTCAATCAAACCACACAATAAATGAACATAAGCACCAGGACAATGGTGGGCAACATAGTGGATGGCGATAAAGACTGTAGTCCGTAGAGTTTTAATAACAAAAACATGATACTAAGATAAGGAATTTAGGTGGATTCTTCTATAAACAAGTAAGCAGTCACTGAAAACTGAAGGAAAGTGGGGTAGGATGATGTGTGATGATTCTCTAAGGCAAAAACTAGGGTAGTCTAAAATACATCTCCTAGAACATTCTTCCCAGTCAGATGGGGCCACAACAGAGGTTCTCGCCAGTTTTGCTACTGATCTGCTGACTCACTTCACTGGCATGAAGCAGTATTTTGGCTTGCAATTGTTCTACCTTCCCTGGATTCTCATTCAGCTTTTCTGGCTCCTATCTATGTGTGTTTACCTCCATGATGATGAGACCCTGGTTTCTTCAGGATACCCATGTGCCAAGACCAGTGGCAACAAGAATAGATACAAATTTCAGTCTATTTGTGTGCTGTCCAGTTTATGCTCAAAGGGTTTCATCCTGCTCAACATATTCCCTTCCTGCCTGCCTGCCTGTGGACTTTAAGCTGTAGGAAAACTGCTCATAGAGATTACTTAACTAGACCCACAATAGCATAAGCCAAATTCTCTGTAACAAATAAGTGTGTGTGTGTGTGTGTGTGTGTGTGTGTGTGTCTTAGTGTAGTGGTTTTGCTTCTCTGTTTGACGCCTGACTGATAAGGATTATTAGTTTAAGTATCAGACAAAGAGTTTTACAGCAATGTAAGATACATACGGGAGAGGGAGGTAATTCTAGAAGGTGAGATCTCAGGAGCCACGTAAGAATTTTGAACTGAGAAATGAATTGATTCACTTCAGCTTGACTGGGTATTATGTTCAGCCCTGGAGATAAGTCAGTGAATACAACATGGTCATGTTTTGGCATTGGTGAATGTGATCAATGGGAAGGAAGTGTCATGTGTAACACAGAACATGCCAGGTAACTATTGATAGAGTAAAAGCTGAGTTAAAATGCCCAGAAAAAGGGCCACAGAATCAAAAGCTAAAAGATAATGAAATATAGAAAACAAAACATAGCGAGCTTTCTTTTTCTCATAGTAAATTAAGGAGGAATGTGTGATATTCTAGAACATGTATACCCCTGTCTTATATAAAATATTGAGGTGCAAGAAAGACATATTTTATATCTTTTCCAGATGCTTACAGTACTACCCTGTCATCTTCAGTGGGGTCCCTGGATCATTAAGGAAGAGTTACATTCTTTGGAGATGCGCCTGATAATTATCAGTCAGAAAAGGCAGGTAGAGGGCCGTGGAAATGAATTAGCACCTCCTGTCACTAGGTGGCCACTTTGCAGTGATTCTCTATATTGAGGCCACCTCTATATGCCAGGGATTCAGTGGTTTGGAAATTAGACTTATTAGGCTATTCTGCAATGACATGGTATAATCTGGCCCACAGACAATCATAAACTACTGTGAGAAAAGACTTTTTTTTTTCTTTGTTTTTGGCAGAGTCTCACTCTCTCACCTAGGCTGGAGTGCAATGGCACAATCTTGGGTCACTGCAACATTTGCCTCCTGGGTTCAAGCAATTCTTATGCCTCGGCCTTCTGAATAGCTGAAATCACAGGTGTGCACCACCATGCCCAGCTAATTTTGGCATTTTTAGTAGAGACAAGGTTTTGCCGTGTTGCCCAGGCTGGTCTCAAACTCCTGGTCTCAAGTGATCCGTCCACCTCAGCCTTCCAAAGTGCCGAGATTACAGGCATGAGTCACTGAACCCAGCCAGAAAAGATATTTTTTAATTTGTCTAGATTCAGTAAACAAAAGGAGAGGTGTTCTTCTTCCAATTGTTCCTCTCTGGAAGACTCAGACATCTCATGGCCCATGGTAAACACATAACATATTTTAGCTGTAATTGTTGTTGTGATTATAATTAAAACTTTATTTAAGGAACGGAAAGTTAGCATTTTTCACAAACATTCTAAAAATAAAAGCAGTGTAATAGAGTGGAAAGAATTTGGGTTTTGAAATTTGAAAGAGAATATGGTTCAAATCTTTGCTCTACGTGACTCTGAGCCATCAGGTCTTTCCTCAGTGTGAAGGGAATGCCACTGACGCTGTTGCAAAGACTTCAAGCGCTATGGAACCTCCATGCATTGTGGAACCTCCACACTTCCTGTGGAGTTAACATTAAACATATTTTTTTTTCCTTTTAAATCTTGATCTTCCCCCCACATCCCTATTCATTTCCCCTTTGGAAAAGTCACCTCTCTGGGAGGCAAATTCTCATCTATAAAATGCTTACATGAAGAAGTTTTAAGGACTAAATGGGCTAATATATTCATATATAAATGATCCACAAGCACTTAATTATATGGCTCTGGGTCAGTTATTGAAGCAAGTATCTCATCCTTTAGGAAGAAGGAAAGCATTATCTTCTTATTTGCACAGATGGGAATATTCAATATGTAGGTGCATTTACTCCAAGAATAATGGCTCAATGGCCTTCTTTGATGAATTAAGGAGGTCAGTGGAAGAGGTAGCAGTATAAAGTAAAATTGTTCCCAAAATGTCATCACAATGCAATAGTGAGTTTTATCAACTTGTTGAAAATTTCATGTAATTTGGGATGAAACAGATAGCCTGCTAAGAAAAACAAAGTTAATATAATTGTAGATATGGGAAAAAATGAATATCTCTTTTAATATTTAATGGTTTCTAATCTGAGGAGGAGAGTCCTTTTAAATTAGTCATCAGCACAGCCTTAGAAATAACAATGCATTGAACCACAGTTTTAACATCATCTGGGATATGGAAATGAACATTGATGTGCCATCCAGATCCTTCTTTCAGGAATGACAGGATTAGTCCCTCAGCTTCTGGGAGTGCTGTCCGTGGAAAGCTATGTGTTGTCAGCCCCCTGTGGGAATTGTCTCAGATGGAGAACACAAGCTTTCTCAAAATCACGCCACCTTCCTTGGCCATACCATATTTAATGACTGATGGAGTGAAGATAAAAGTAACAGCTCCCCCAATCCCAAATCAGAACAACTCTGAAGGGTCATCAAAGCATCAGAATCTCCCTTAGATTGAGACCTCCAATGAGATTACTTCATAAATTCACATTTCCTTTTACCCAGTCCTGCTTTCTCAGTTACCATGAGTGTAGTTCATCCCAGAAATACTACCTAATAATCTTTCTGCATGCTAATGTCTATGTAACAGTCTACTTCTGAAGAAATCCACAACTGGCGCTGGAAATGATCTGAGAAAGCTGATCCTGGGATAAGAGTTGGAGCTGTAGCACCTACCCTCTGCTGACAATGAGGATCCCATCACAAATCAGGACTTTACAAAAAGTAGCAGTGCATTTATTAAAGGTTTTGTTGGTGTTGAAGTGGAATGGCATGCCATTAGAAAGCAATTCATTATCTGGTACAATAAATATGTTATTTGAAAAAATATGGGGAAAATAGCCACTATGAAAACAGTGAAATTGGGAATCTATAGCTAAGCCCAAGTCTTGCTTAAAAAAATAAATAATAAGAAGTTGAGATTGTTTGATCAGCAAGTAAGAGCTTAATTTGAAAACCAGAGGGTCTCTTTGGAACACATAGAGAGGATCTCATCTCCTGCAGCTGTATGGCAGAGAAAGCTGCGGACATGGTTAATTGCTTAATTGTAGGAGTAGTCAAACTCCAAAAATAAGCTCCCAACTAGGAACATCTTTTATGCCATTCCAGAATCCTGGTTATGAAAGAATGAGATTCTGATACATCTTAGCTGATGCATGAAAAAGTTTTGAATCTGTATGTTCCCCTGAATCTTCTGATCCTGCAGAAGTACCTACTGTCCTATTGCTTGAAGATGATAAGAAACTTCTTCCTAGAAGGACAACATGTCCTCCATGTAGATCTTCCCTCAACTCCTCTCCTGGATGTTAGGCCAATAACTAGGGTTAAGTCACAACATATTCTGATGGGACAAATTGGTCCTTGTAAAGGAAGAAAGGGGCTATGCATCAAATAAACTGTAGGACCTAACGAACACCCGCTGACAGCAGTTGGCAAAGGTCACATGGGTTTGGATTCTGAGGGTGCTATAAAAAGATAGGGTGCAGAATTTAAGATTAAATAGAGGGGAATTTACCAGTTTGGGAAGACTCTTCCAAGTCATAGAGTTTAATATCTTGGCAAAGTCCCCAGCAGATAGTGCAAACATGCTACAAGGGTAGTTCTAGATGCATGGTAAAATTGGTGGCTCATATAAGTATCTTGAAATGCCTGAATTGCATTGCAGATGGTTCTAGATAGGATAAAAAGGATGATACAAGTAGGCATCATTAAGAACATGTATTGTGTAATATTGGAACCACCATTGCTCCCTGACCCCTAACAGATGATTATGTTCCACAGAAGAGCCTGGAAGACGTATCATTTACCAAAATAATAAAGAATGCACAAATAGGAAGTACATCACCACCCTGAGCATTTCAGTAATGGCTTTCCTCTTTATGTCAGGCACATGCTACAAAAAGGGCATTGAAGAATGAAACTCACTCCTAGAGATGGGGTTAATAGTATCGTGATACAAATGAGGCCAGGTTGTAGTATTTAACCTTCAGATATCACGTTGTTATGTGAAGTCAAGATTTTTTTTCAAGAATGAAGGACTTAATTCCTCAACTTCAAGTCCAAAGATATATTTCCTTCCCAAAGTGACCTGCCTCCAGTGAGTTTTAGATATGGAAGTATAGTGGCTGAGCCTCCTTACCTCATCTTGGAACAACTCTAAATGATCATTTGAGGTTTAAGATTTCCATGGGGCTGGCTGAGGAATGCACTGAAACTGCACTGAAGTTCAACTTCTCCTCCTGCCTGAACATACTTTTTAAATCTTTATCTCACAGTCATTAATTCCATAATCATAAGAATTCCTTAATATAAAGCTCACTCATGGAAATCTCTCTGTCCCCCAGGGAAGCCATTTGGTAACAAGTGTCACTTAAATCTACATTGATGGGGCTGTCTTATCTTACACGTGTGTTTTTGTCTTAGTTTTTCAACTCTCTAAAGAACATTTGTACCTCTGTGTCTCTAAAGACTTATTTTTTAAAAATTTATAAACAATGTAAATACGGTGCCATTCTTAACTCTTTTCTTCATGTTGATTTTATCCGTTTATTTTTTACTATAGTAATAATAAAGTTTAATATTTGATGAATTATCATTTTATGCAGGGTACTATGCCAAAATGAAAAAAACTTGCCTTGGGTCCTCATGCATCCCCACTATTTATAGAGCTTGAGCATTCAGGTATATTACAACCTCTCTGAGTTTCTGTGTATTTAACTTTAATTTAACAGAGAATGCCTCCCTCACAATAATGGAGGGTTTACATTTATATAGCAAGAAACTAGGTACCTTTTTAAATGGTACAAGGGACACCAAAGAACTGTCAGTGTCATAGGCATCGGTTACTCATGAAAGCAACATCAGATCCCTGGGCAAAACAACAAATACAAGAAGGCATTCATATTAGTAATAATCCATAGAATTATTTTAAGTCATTTCTCATCCATAGCTAGGATATGAGCTTTGGAATCTGGAAAAAGTTAGATTTGACTTCTACCTCTACCATTAATTTCTGGGTGAATTTGGAAAAATTTAGGTTGACCCTTTTGTGACTGATTTTTTAAACCTATAAATCTATAAATAAATGCTATTTATTTCACAACATTTTTGTAAGGACTGAATGAGGTAATATATGCAAAGTACTTAACTAGCACTTACACATATGTATGCTAAGCACTAAAGGAATGAGAACAATTATTGGTTTTATTTTACTGATTGCTACTATTTCCATAAATCTTTACTCCATACCTATGAGATAGATGGGAATGAGATTATTAGTCCCATTTAGGACAAAGAACAAGAAATAAAATAAGTTTCCAGTCATATAGCTAGAAAGTGGTGAAGCTGGGTTTTCAGCCAAACTCCTTCATATTCCTATATGTGTCATGTTCATTCCATTAGGCCTGGTCCTATAACAGACTTGGGATCTAAACGATACTACTGAATAGGAGTTCAGGTTATGTTGAGTGTTAAGGCGTTGGGTGACAAAGGTGTAAAGAGTCTTAGCTCTTAACTTTCGGAGAAAATTTTAGTTTCTCAGGATTCTCTATCATCCAGCCCAGTGTTTTGTTTAATGCCTCAATCCCTTAAGCCATAACCTGACTTCTGATTCCACAGGAGTTTCTTACATCAACCTTTTTTCTAACTGAGCAATTGCTCTCTTGTTGATGCCTTTTGAGGAATATCTTTTATATAGAGTTGTTTGGTATGACCTGACCTGGGAAACAAAACTCCCTTCCCAACCAAAAGAGGAAATAAGGAAACAATAACACGTCTTTGATTGCAGTTTACATGACAGGGGTTATGATAATGATGGTTAATATAAACACCGTGTGTTAGAGAGGAAGGAAGGGAGGGAGGGAGGGAGGGAAGGAGGGAGGGAGGGAGGACAACATACAAAGGCCTAGAGTGGGAAATAAACAAACAGTTTAAAAATCCTTTCTTAATGCCTGTTATTTATTTTCCATCATTTAATGAAATGTCATGGCATTAAATCTTATAAACAGGCTGTTTATAAGATTTCATATGCTCCAACCTGCTTAAGAGAGGTCTGCTTATGCCTCTTATCCTAGTATAATTATTAAGAATGACCCTTTTCACTCTCACAAAGGTCCTCTATTGGTCTAAAAGTTCTATGTTAACTCCATATATCCTTGACCAATTGTGTACTATGTTTGGTAGTATACAATTGATCAAGAAGATATGAAATAATTAAAACAACAGATTTCAGCCTTCCTGAGTCCTTCATACTAGTGCAGCACTTCTTAAATAGCATCCCTTTTAATTAAGACACAAGTAAGGGCAATATAATGCTTGTTATCTGGATTGTTTTTGGCTGTGCGCCTGGACACCAACTGCTGTTGCTGCTGCAAACCTTCATGTCCACAGCAGAAAGGAACCTGCCAACTCACCTAAATGTGGCAAGCCTGGAGGTCTGCAATGTACAACCAAGAGTCCCAGGACATTGATATTTTTCCTCCTACCAAAGGCTGTGTTTGTGGAACGAGGTTGGAGGAAGGATGTAGTAGGACTAGCTCTCTAAAGTCAAACTCAGAAAATGTCTCAGTCACTCTGCTTAAGTCTGTGATTTAGAACTCCAACTGCCTTCCTCCAGATGCTATTTTGGAGAGTTCAGCCTGATCATCAAAGGTTGCTTCAAAATTTAAATATGATTGCCTCCTTTAGTTTCACAAGCTAGTCTTCAAATGGTTGACCTGAGGTGAATCTTGTTTTGCCTTCTTTCTACAGAAGATGGTAGAGAAAAACCACAATGGAAGCCATGGGCTTTATTTAGGTTTTATCCACTATGAAATGTAACTGCTGAGGGCCAGGCATAGTGGCTCATGCCTATAGTTTAGCACTTTGGGAGGCCGAGGCAGGTGGATCACTTGAGGTCGGGAGTTTGAGACCAGCTTAGCCTACAAGACGAAACCTCATCTCTCAAAAAAAAAAAAAAAATGCTGGACATAGTGGTGCACACCTGTAATTCCAGCTACTTGGGAGGCTGAGGCAGGAGAATCGCTTGAACTCAGGAGGTGGAGGTTGCAGTGAACAGAGATCACACTGCTGCACTCCAGCCTGGTTGACAGAGCGAGAATCTGACCAAAAAAAAAAAAAAGAAAAAAGATAAAAGTAAGTGCTGGCTCTCTAATCTATCTTTTCTGCTTCCAGCCCTTAGTAATATTCATTCATGTTCATATTCTCTTCTGTGGTTGAGCAAATATTTTCTGATTTCAAAGAGGATTGAAGGGAACTGAGATAAAGACACTTGCACTGCTCCCCACACCCAGCTGCTTAATCTTGGATATGCTATTCCTTTAGCATTTAGATAAGTTTCCCTTATTTAGTCCCACAGTCAAAGCCTAGCTCTCCAGGTTTTTCAAGTAAAGTTATCCCACAGGCTTCTTTGAGTCCTCCTGAGTGCAAGCTATCCCTTCCATTACATCCATCAAGCAGCCTGCAGGGGCAACATCTCCAGTAAATGTGTCCAACACCTCTCCTGCTTAAACCCTGCAGTGGCTCTCCACTGTTTGTGGTGTGAAGCAGGGACTTAGTCTGGCACCCCAGGCCTTTGAGCCACTAAGACTATTGCCATTTCTGTGCTGATATCTACCTCCTCTTGACATGGGCTTCATGCTCTGGCCCACTCATTTTTCAGTGTTCCTTTCCCTAAATACACACTGGGGCTTATTCCTCCACTTTTCTGAAGATGTCAGTCAATGGGAAGTATAGACTAAGAGCAGACGTGATGGCAGGGGAAAAGGGCAAAACATCCAGGTTAGGCAGGAGAAGTTACATGAGTAAATTCAGGAAAATCATGTATATAAAGAAGACCTTGGGGGTGAAAGTTAGAGAAGGAAGGAGGGCTGTCATCCCTCTTGTGAATTCTTGTCAAGGTCACTGGTCAGTAATGAATCCATGTTGACTCCCTCCACCTGTGCTTTTGTGTCGTTGCTACACAGAGGCTTGGAGAAATCATCCACCCTCTCCTGGAGCCATGTGATAGGAGCTCAGAGCATTGTGACTGTCTGAGTCTAGAATTGCTCTGCCTCAACAGTGTTGGGACAGTCTAAAAGTGGGACATAAACCAGGAGTCAAAGCTTTCTACTTCCCCTGGCTGAGAAAACCTCTTGCTCCCCACTAAGGGACAGATCCTTCTCATTCTCTTAGACTGCATTTCTTCCTTTCTCTGAGAAGGCTTCTTTGATTCATCTTTCAGCAAAAACTGCACATTTCCTTTGAAATGTCTTTTGCACATTTAATACAACAGTATTCACACTCAATTGCAAAATAGCTTTACATTTCTCCTTTTCTGCTGGAGCATTCAGGCAGTAGAGGATCAACTCACTGCCTTTTTTCAGTGCCTAACATAATGTCTGGCTGATACGGTTTGGCTGTGTCCCCACTCAAATCTCATCTTGAATTGTAACTCCCATAATTCCCACGTGTTGTGGGAGGGACCCGGTAAAAGTTAACTAAATCATGGGGGCAGTTCCCAGTTCTTGCGGTAGTGAATAAGTATCATGAGATCTGACGGTTTTTATAAGGGGTTTTGCCTTTCACTTGGCTCTCATTCTCTCTTGTCTATCCTCATGTAAGACATGCCTTTCACCTTACTGTGAGTCCATTAAACCTCTTTTTCTTTATAAATTACCCAGCCTTGGGTATGTCTCTATCAGCAGCATAAAAACAGACTAATTCACTGGCAAACTTGGTGCCAATTTAGTGCTAACTATATGAGTACACACACACACGCACACACACACACAGAATTTAAACCGAGGTCTTAAGTTATCTAAAGCATAAACCTTTATTCTGTATTGTATTTCATTATTTTCACTGCTATTTTAGGTATATATATTCAAGTGGAGGAAATAGAACACACATGCGAGAGAATCACTTTCTGAGAGAGCTGAAGACTATTTGATGGACCACCATAAATTTCATCAAAGGAAACAGAGCAGAGAATTGACCAATAACAAACAGCTGGAAATGAAAGAACTGTGGGCAAGGTAATGACGAAGTAATTACCCTGGGTTTAACTCAAGGTCTAAACTTTTCTAGTTTATCTTAATGAAACACTATGCTCTGCCTACGTAAATCATATATTTCTATTATATGATTAGTAATAAAATGACTATTTATATAGCTGAAAAAAATGTCTGGCAGCAAGTACGTGCTGATGGGGATAGTTTGGGGTCCAGACAGATTATCTGCATTAACAGAGGAAGAGAATCTGCAGCATTTTAATGAAAATTTGAAATGAAACTAAATTAGGTATTAAAATGAAGTATAATTTCTCAAGCTAAGAATAGGAAAATAATATATTGAGTGGAGCTCTTTATAGCTTAGAGACATAAGAATAAAAGTTTAACACAATTAAGTTATTCTTGATGTTACTCTTGAGCTAGAGATATCATCTCTTTCTTATCCTAATTGAGTTTCTCTATCTCACTTCCATTAATAACGGTTAGACTGAGATACTGGTCAAGTGGAAAAATGACCATAAATGTTCTCTTATTCTGTAGAGGATTAGGCACTTCCAATATGTACAGAACGATGATAATATGACCCTTGTTGACCTAGTCTTAAAGAAGAAGATGAATAGAAGGAAAAAATTTAAAAAATAATATGTTCTAACTCTTTAAGTTTTAGATACAAAGCCAGCCTATTGAGAAACCTTTTATTAAGCATTATTATGTGTGAGATATTTTGCAAGTGCTGTGAACAAAAATCAGTGAAAAACGAATAAGCAAAATACAATAAAATGTTGTCTCTACCCACCCACCTAAAAACAGCAAAGTAGGAAGAAAGACACATAAAACAGGGAAGAAATGATACAAGTGCTATATGTTGTACAAGTCTAATCAAAATGTGTAAGATGTTCTGGAGAATCCCAAATTTAGAAGTATCCAGCTTTTCCAAGGTGTAAAGTGAAAGAAGGGTGGCGTTGGAACAGATACCTTAAAGGATAACCAAGTATTTGAAGGGACAGTATATACCACCCAGAGTATCTTCTGACAATTCTAAGAAAATATGCGTAGTGGGTAACAAAGCAACATATGTCTTGGGTATGTTCGAGGAATCTAAATGTCATGGTGAGTCTAGAGTCATGATGAGAGTGGGTGTGGAAGGGGCAGTGCAGTGACTCATCACATCCTGTGTCACTTCTCTATTTTGGGTATGTGGACAACCACTTCCCAGTCTCCTTGCAATCCGATAGAACCACATGACTATTTCTAACCCATAAAATCTGAGCAGGAGTAATGTGTGCTCTACCTGAACTGTGACTTTGAAAAGCCCCTTTTCCATATGTGTCTCCAGTACATTTCTTCCCTTAAGGCAGTGAGCATGGGAGCCTTCAAAATGAGGGTATCAAAAGGTTAAGGCAGGTTGGTTTTGAGTCACCACTTGAAGGACTGTTGCAAAGAGAGTCATCTACAACAGAATTCATGTAAACTGTGTTGTTAGGTGGTGCTTTGTGTTAAGCCATTGAGACTGAGGAATTGTTTGTCACTAAAGCATAAAGTTGTCCTATCCTGACTAATAGCAAGGGTGGTGGTGAGAGTTGGACCCAAAAAGAAAGGCAAATGATATATCATGTAACAATTCAATAAACTCTCCTTTGACTTCTTAATGAGAACTAATTATTTTATCTGATGCTTCCCAAGCATCTCATTGGTTTTCTATTCAGCACTTATTTCCTTCTGCAGGCCCTATTGTTCCTTGTTGGTCTATTTTTCTCATTATGTTATACAATAACATCATTCAAGTTATGTCTAGTGTAATAAAAATTCCCTGAATAACAAATACACTAAAATTTGAATACCATTCCCTAAGAATATATAAATATGGAGCATGACAAGAACTTTTCTGGATTGCAAAAAAGGAAGGTGGAACAAAGTAGCACCAACCCTACGGTCTCTGCAATTGGAAGATTCAACAAGGATTTCTACTTTTAAGTGAAAATTTAACTTCTCAAGACAGGTGTCTTTTTTTTTTTTCATAGCTGTATTCAGGTATAATAGGTATAACAAAAACTGCATATAACTAATGTACACAATTTGGTGAGTGTGGGCGTAGGTACACATTCAATATAACCAAAATCCAGGTAACAAACATATTTATCACTTCCAAAAGTTTCCATGTGTAGCTTTGTAAAGTTTTTCTTTTTTTTTGTCTTTTTTGTTTATTTAATTTTTATTTTTGTAAAAGTTAACATGAAATCCACCCTCTTAACAATTTTTTTAAGCATCCTATACTTTCTTGTTAACTATAGGCTCTATGTTGTTCAGCAGATGTCTGGAACTTACTTACCTTGTGTAACTGCAACTTTATACCTACTAAACAACAACCCTCCATATTCCCTTCCCCCATCCCATGGTAAACAACATTCTATTGTGTATTCCTACAACTTTGACTATAGTAGATGTCTTACATAAGAGTAATCCAATGATTTTTGTCATTCATTGACTAGCATTTTGGTGTCTTTCAGTGTGTTTGTATTTCTTCTTTTAGCAGTTATCATAGTCTCTGTACTAGGATCAGGGTCTATAGAGGAGTTGAAGGTACAATGGCCCTACTCTACAGAAGTTTGAATTCCCAGACTCCAAAGTACGGTTTCTAAAGCACAGATGCAGTCTCTGTTACTTCCACAAGTAGTATTTTAGCCTAATGTGGATCAGATTGAAACACAGAAGCAGCCATGTCCTGCAATGTATCAGATGACCCCATCAAAGTTCCACAGATGGTCTTTAGGAGGCCAGCCATACAATTATTTGCTAAATTAGATGTTCGTGTGTATAGGCATGTATATTTGGAAAAGATATTCAAAGCTTTAATTGGGTATTCCAAAGAATGGTCCACTTTGCCATATTTTTAAAGAACTGCTGATGCAGCGGGAGGCAGACATATATATAAACTTCTTTCAATTTAATGTAGTAAGTGTAACAATAAATATAAAGGCATTTCTGTAGTTTTATAGTGGAGTGAGTGAGGGCTTGAATTACTGTGTAATCAAAGTTTATTTTGGGGGGTCTGACTATGTTTTATATGTGACGGTTCCCTTATTTTATTAATGTACAAAAATTTGAATGATAGTTAATTATATCTTTTGACAGTTGGGCAGATTTGCAAATAATTAATTTTTAATTTATTTAGGAAGCCTAGTGATTATTAGACTTCTTATCAATTGACAAGCCAAAGTTCTTACAGGGAGAGCTCTGCTCTGTAAGCAGTGAACTCCCATTGCCCAAAACATTCACAAAACATTGTCAAGCTTCAACTAAAGATGTGATTGTTTTGACTTTTTGATAGTGATAGATCACCATACCAAATCAGACTTATTCTCTGCTTTGTGTATCAGGTTTTTCTGAATGCAAATAGAACATAAAAGAATTGATCAGTTAATTATCAACATTTTGTATGTCAGAACAGGGGAGGAAAAGCCATGTATGGCTTCCCACACCTCAATTGATAGCATGTTCATTCCAGTCATTTTCTCTCTCTCTTTCTTGGGTGCCTCATGTTCAGTTTATCAGGAAATTATCTTGTTTTTACCTTCAAAATATAGCCAGAATCTGACCAATACTCAATATAATCAAACAAAAACCTACAAGTTTTCCTTGATCTTCTATTCCTTTCCCCACCTCCACCCCACCCATCAAAACCTGTGTTCTGAATCTGCTACTTTTAAGGATATGCCAGAGTTACCAACTCCATCCATGTGTCCTTTTTTCCACTTCTATCATCCTGATCCTGGCCACCATGACCTGTCACGTCCATATTTAAAACTGACTATTGTCCATTGCATATAGACATGAATAGAAACACATCATGTGAAATGTCTGATATAGTTTGCCTGTGTCCTCACCCAAATCTCATCTAGAACTGTAGCGTCCATAATTCCCATGTGTTGTGGGAGGGACCTGGTGAAAGATAATTATATCAGGGAGGCAGTTTCTCCCCATACTCTTCTCATGGTAGTGAATAAGTCTCATGAAATCCAATGGTTTTATAAGGGGAAACTCCTTTCACCTGGCTCTCTCATTTTCTCTTGTTTGCTGCCATGTAAGATGTGCCTTTCACCTTCTGCCATGATTGTGAGGTCGCTCCAGCCACGTGGAACTGAGTCCATTAAACCTCTTTTTCTTTATAAATTGCCCAGACTCAGGAATGTCTTTACCTGCAGCATGAAAATTGATTAATACAATGTATATCTACTTCAATGACATTCCAAATGACTTATAATAAAATCCAAAGTACTGCCATAAACTTCAGGGCTTGCCTTGATCTGTACCATTATGTCTCCTCTTCAGGTGCATGTCATGGCAGACCCTGTTGTGCTCAATGGATTTCAGTCATGGTGGTGTTTCCTGTGTTTTTGAATCATTGAACATGTTCTAACCTTAGGGCTCTTGTACTTGGGATTCATTCCCCCTGGAAGGCTCTTCCTATATATTATACCATAGCTCACAACTTTTCAGTTCTCAGTGGACTGCACTATTGAAAATACTTCTTCACAGACTGTCCAGCCTAAATTATTTCTGCTTTCACCTGATCACCCGCTCTCATATTAGTCTGCTGTTTTATAAACATTATTGCTCTGAAAAACTTGTTTATTTATTTCCTACTGTATTCATTGTCAAATGAAATTTAGGTCCCATGAGAACAAGGACTTTGTCAGCTTTGTGCTGCTGAATTACTAGACAGTAAATGCCATACATGTAGCACAAAAATTGTTGCATGAAAAAATGAGTTACGTTGAAGGGTAAAGTATGGGGGTAAGAAAGGAATTAAAAATACTTAAGGGGATCTTTTGGGTTTTAGTTCTGACAGATAAAGATCTTGGAAGTCATTCCACCTGTTCTCATAACAAGAAAAACAAAATGAACAAAGTGAAAATGAATGAATTTTCTTAGATTCATCAGAAAATTGAGATCACTGGGCAAACAACCACCCTAAATCTAATGAGGCAGATGGATACACAGAATAACAGCTAAGATCAACTTACCTATAACAGTAGCTTCTCGTCCTAGTAACTGCTAAGTATATGTAAAGGCAATTTTTACAAATGTCTACACCTAAGTGTGGACTAGTTGGAGAATTAAAAACTGCTGGGGAACCAATCTTAGGGAGGCTTAACTACATATCCCAGATTTTACCTTCAGAAGCCCTACCAGATTTTCATGACGATGATGATCAGAAAAACAGCCTCTTTCTTTTTGGGGCAGAAAAAGGAATAAACAAAAAATACAAAAAAAAAAACTGAAGCCTCAGGCATCTATAGCTACAGCAAACATTAAACACAGCCCAACTTCTAGCCAGATTAACATAAAAACTTATACTAAAAATCTAATTACCTCAGGTCCTGAGGGAAGGATCGATATAGGTGGTGCAGAGAATTTTTAGGGCAGGGAAAGGACTCTGTATGACACTTTTAGGGATATGTGCCATTACACATTTGTCAAAACCCATTGAACTGTGTAACACAAAGAGTGAAACTTAAACTGTAGACTTTAGTTAATAATAATGCATCACTATTGGTTCATTAATTTTAACAAATGTAGCACACTTATGCAAGTTATTAATAAAAGGGAAAACTGGTTGTGGGGGGTTGTATATGGGAACTCTCTGTACAATTTTCTTAGATTTTCTGTAAAACTACAACTGTCCTAAAAAATAATGCTCACTTATTAAAACCAAAAAAAGACTCCCCAGGATTTGGGTCTGTAAAACTGAGGAAAAAATGGTGAAATAATTTTGGCACTCACAGAAAGAGTCATAGAAGGAAGGAGAATGCATACATTTATTTACAGACCCTTTTCTGCACTGGATGCTTCAAGAATCAGAGCACCAGTGATTTCAGATCTAACAGTTAAATTGCCAAGATGATGTAATAGTACTATAACTCCTTTTAAGTTATTAATCCTGGAATTTCACATATTTTTGTGAGTATAAATGCACTTGCTCTCCATTTAGTGCGGATGTTTATAACATATTCTGGAAATCTCAGTGAATGGAGAGTGGTAGACTTTTTTAATGGAACATGACTAGCAAAAGCTGGAAGGTTGTGTAACTTGAGGGGGACACGATCCAGGAAGCTATAATAAAAACAGCTGGAGATAGTTGTAGAGGAGAGGAGGCCAGGAAGAAATAATCCCACTCAATGAAGAGGTACAGCACTGTGGTTTGGGGGTGAGGGCAGCAGAAGGGAAGGAGCAGCAGTCGGTTCCCCAGCACGAAGATGTTACATTCTCTATCACAGAGATGTTGATTTCTATTGTACTAAAATAGGTGCAATTATCTAAGGCCACAGCAGCCTCCTCGCTCAGATATTCAGGAGATTTGGAGCGGGGAGGTCATCTATTGATATCATGGCCCCATTGTGCAGCTGTCTGTCTATGCAGACAACTCTGGCTATGAACAGCTACAGGTGCAAGTGCTGGTGGAGATTGTCGGAGGTGATCCCTGAGGAGCTGTGCATAATTTACTCTGCCTCAGAAGGCACAAGCTAATTTTGAACAAACCCCTGTGCTGTCATCTACTATAACAGACCCAATTTAGATTAATCCTTGAACTGGGATTCCACGTGCATAAGACAGTCTCCAAAACAAAGAAAGGCAAACCAGAGACATTAATAGTATCCAGATGATTGCTTAGGTTTAATGCGAAGCTCTTTTTAAAATGTCCAATTTTTAATCTCAACTGTGCAAACAAAGCCTCCATCAAAGGATTAAGAGCCTTAAAGAGGCTTCTCCCAGCAAAAAGAGGGCCTGTATTTTAAACAAGGGGTGCCCATCCTTCTTGCCTGTTTTGACCAGATGATTTGGCTGCTAATTATACTTTAATTAGAAAGAAAAAAACAATTCAGTGTGTTTTTCTTCAAAAGGCAGGGAGAAAATAAACCTCAGATAACTGTATTATCATGGTTTTCTAAATAATGGACCAATGGCTGCTTCTTGAATTCACTTATGATTACAGAATTACATTTAAATTAAATAGGACTTCAGTTTGCCCAATTTATCCCCAGATGTATCTCACTCAGTTGTTATGTTCCATTTACTGTATTATGATAGTTAATATCAGGGGTTTGAGATTATTACATTTCTTAGTTCCAGCTCCAGATTGTGACTTTGGATAAAATATTTCATAGTTCTGAGTCTATACAATGAAAATTATGATATAATTTATTTCATAAAGTTTGTGGGAAGATTGAATGTAATATGCATGAAAGGCATTTATTGCTAATCCTGTACATATACACTTAGGAACTCCTCAGGAAACCTGCTGCGTGGTAAATGTCTTGATAATATGGTAATGTAAAAGAATAACCTTTTCAGAGGTCGTGGACTGGAAACTAGAAAGACCTAGGTACAGGCCACATCCTGGGGTTCCCATCCATGAGAAAATGGCCTCATTGCTATCCTGTTCTGACATGCTGTCCTCTGTACTTTCCTCTCTGGTTTTTCTCATTGGTTGCTTCCTCAAATTCTTGACACTTTGAAACCCAGAAATGTAATTATTAAACAAGTATTTATTGAGTGTTTATGACGTATCAGGCCAGGTGTTTGTCATTGGTGATACAGTACTAGAAATGATAGATATTAGTACCCTCTTGTGAGGCTTACAATATGTTAACAGAAAAAGCAATCATTTCTTGATGTCAATGCAGCTTGTGTTTTATGGCAAGAACTTTACATGTGTTATTAATTCAACTCATTCTCAGGCAGACATTGCTGTAATCATCTCACTGTTGAAGAGACTAAAATGTAAGTAACTTACTCAAAGCTACAGCCTGTAGATAACAGAGACTTAGACCTCCATTGCTTTGATGACCTAATAGGTTTGGAGAATACATCAAGTCTTCAGGTTTTGATATAATGAGTTTTAGATGCCTATTGGACATTTAGTTGAAAGCTTCAAACAAGTAGGTGGGTATATATACCTGAACCTCAGAAAAGAAAGCTGGAAATACAGCTATAAGTTATCAGCTCAAAGGAGGAATTTGGAGATATGGGAATGAATGACTTCACCTACAGCTGAACAGCAAATAAGGGACTTATGCAAAATATCAAACGTCCTTCTCCATCTCCAGATATTTTTAGTTCATTGGTTTACAGTGGGAATGGGAAATGAATTAACAATTTTTAAAATTTTTCGTGTCATTTGAATAGAGGTAGGATTGAATGCTACTGACTTAGAAACACAATGAAAAAAAATGAAAAAAAAAATAAGGCTCAAAACAGTCCAGAGTCTCAACTCCAACATGAAAATTAATGTAGAAAGAAAAAGGGCATCAAAGAGACAGATGAGCAGTGGGAGGAGGTAGACAGAATGCCAATGATGAGAGTGGGAATTCGAATAGTAACATTTAGAAGTACAGAATATGGCACTGAGTGGAAATTTGGGGAAAAGAGAAAAAGGCATTCCAATTGTAATGAACTTCATGAACCATAAAGAAAAGATTGAGAATGTATAGGAAAGGCCTATTCAGATCAATCGGTCACTCAACACGCTTAGGTCTTGACAGCCACTGCCCGCAGACAGACTTCAGCCCATCTCCTGTTGGCCATATCTCAAGGTCACACCAGGTTTCCACCCATAACGCAGAACCAGGTGACAGTTAATTTAGGTCATTGGATACTGTCTGGGAGGTTGAGATCCATCTACTTTTTCCAATCATCAGTTTAAAGAAGCTGACATCACTGTAAATGTCTTGCAACGCGCTGCCACTGATTGAGTGGTCGTTCAATAGAATTCTCCAGATTGATGATTGGAATAACTCAAGAAGATCTCACCCTGAATGCCTATGGAGAGATGTGCGGGATCAAAGTTGTTTAGGGAAAGGGCAATTTTTGATTCTTCTGTTTATCTGTTGCACTGCATAGAGTGTTGTGCTTTGTATTTTTTTATCATATTTGAAGTCACAATTTTTTTCATAAGATAGGTGTTCCCTAAAAAGGCAGAGTTAAAATGTGCTGATTATATAGGTAATGAACACAGTATGTACAAATAACCACGATTTAAATCCCAGTTATATCACTCACTGGTTCTGTTATTTGGGGCACATTACACATATTCAAATGCTCAGTTTTCTGATGTGAAAAATAGTGGTACCAGTAGAACAAATATTACAAGGGTGTCAAGAATTCCTGGCATGAATTAGGGCTCAATCAATGTCTATACTATTATAATACTATTGTTGTCAATAATGTTTCTCTTTTACCTTAGTTACCAGGAAGTTTGGGATCAACTATGTTTTCTACTATGTATGCAACCCTGAGTTGTGACAGAAATATCAAGTGTAGAAGATGAAAGGTCTCTGCCCTAGAGGAACATATACGCTGGTGAAAGGTGCAAACCTACAAAGAGATAACTCTACATTGCTGGTGCTGAGTACAACACAGAGTTGCCAGGCTCTATAAGAACATTTATTTACTCATCACAAAAATAATTTTCAGTGCTTCTCGTGTGTTAATGCCCCAAGTACCCAGCACATAGTAGGTACTCAATATGCAGCCTATGTACTGAATGAGCGGTTAAATCTCTATCCTAAATTATTCCTTTAGGGTATGTAAAAATCCTACATAGAGCACAGCTTCTATGTCCTATGCCACATTATATCTAATGAATTAACATTGAAAGTGCAGCTTTAGAATAGAAAATTTCTCACTCTAATTTGTGTCAACACTTTCCATTTCATAAGCGTAATCCATTGATTTGATCAAGTAAGATATCTCAGGAGGTGCCAGCTGTAGAACTCCTTCATCAATTTTTTTGTCTTAACATGAAAATAATATGGAAAATTAAACCATAGAAGAAAAAAATACTCTGTCTCTCATTTTTCATTTGAGCTCATTCTGCTCAAGTGAGATAATTCCCTGTGTCTGGAAGGCACACTTCTCAATCTGACTAAACCAAAATGCCACCATTCTTCTTCCCATCAACTTCTGAGTCCTCATTTTTTCTCTTGTCCTCCAACCAGAGCAAGGATTTTTCCCCTTCATTTAATTATTCTGAGTGTCATCTTGTCAGTAGCAGTGTGGAGATTCCCCTCCTTTGAAATGTTGGCAATTATTACTAACAGCATCACCTATGATTACCATTATTAATTGGTGGGAGTCAATAGAGCCAGTGACATGAACATAAGACCAAGAGTTGAGGCTTGACATGCAGGCTGACTCTCAACATAAACTCTAATGACTTGTCTGGACCCCAGTCCCAGAAATTCCTAGAGTTTACGAGCACACTTCACCTGGGTGCATGAACACAAATCCAGACCTGGACTCCAGGTCCCTTTGCTGCTTTGCTAGGTTTTGGTTTCCGTGATCTAGTCTTCCCTTGTTTGGCAAAAAGGTGGAGAAACATAATTGTCATAGACTCTTGCAGAATGGGAAGCAAACTGGCCTAGCAGGGGTTGCAGCCCAAGGAACAGAACAGTGAGGGGAGAATTGGAATGACACTTACCGGTGGAGATACATTAAGGGATAGTTATGGTGGAAACCCTGGGAGCCCAGCACCTCACCCTTGGATGTCTCCAAACTTTCAAGAAATAGTCAGTATCATTAAATAATCAAGTTTAACTAGATTTCTTACAGGTTCCTCCGCTGTAAAATGGGATAATAAGATCCGCAATTAAGTGTTCCATATATCTCACAGGGAGATGATAAGAATGCCATCAGATGAAGATTCATAAACAATTTATAAGCGTAATGTGTAATTCCTGATTACTCTTATCCCTGCTGCAATTGACTATATCATATAGTTTACGAGTTTGGGTGTGTACTATCAGGGGCATGTGTGTGTTGCGTGTGGAGGACTAGTTGGGATTAAACATTCTGTGGAGTTCAGTTAAACTCCGCAGAGACTTAGGCAAGGGGCATCTATGCTAATTGTCATCTTTACCCCCACTGGAGCCTTCTTCAGCCAGAGAAGGGGCCCTCCCTTTAACAGAGCAGCCCAGCTGATGGCTCCGATCTTGCAATCCAGTTAGAGGTAGTGGGCAGGAATTAGTGCTAATCAGTCTGTCTCTATTTGCTGAGCTTTTACAAAAGGGCGGGCACTGTACTAGCTCTATGTTGTGCCTAAAACACTGTCAATCCACAAGCTGATGAATGCTGACCCCCCCAAATGAAGTACCCATTCCTGCTTCACAGTTTTTCAGGGGATTTCAAGGCCAGGGGGGAGGCAGGAAGCAGCAGTTACCACAAAAATGGCTTAAGACTATCTCAAAGCTAAATAATAATGTTATATTTATTTATCAGGGTCACACATTTACTCACAATTTACTCAAATGTATAAATAAATAAAAACAAATTTATTTTGTATTTAATCTGATCTTCACAAGGCTTATCATCTGAATAGTAGAGAAATACTTAGATTTCTTATATTTTGATAAAAATGAATCAAATTTTATCATTTAATCATTTTTTTAAAAAAAGTTTATCAAAAATCCAACCCCTTCTCCCTGCCCATCCTTTGATGGTGGCTTCTTCTTGTGATGGAGCAAAGAAGAAGCCTGCTGATCTCTGGTGCTTCCGCGGGATCCCAGCTTTTGTCTGATGTGGAATGGCTGCTCTGGGCTCCTCTGTGGACTGATGGAAGATGAGGTGTGCTGTTGGCTCTTTGTGATGGTGTTCTAACACCCAGGACTGGTGTTCATAGAACTAGCCATATGCCTTGATCTTAAAGTCTTGTTACACTGTAGCCTCTTCACTTGGACCTCAGCCCGTCAGTTTTCAACACCTCCTTCAACACCTCCAACTCTTCCCTGGCTTTTCTGAAAACCTGATGTACATGCATGCATTGTCAGTCATTCGAGGCATCCAGGAAAACTGCTTCAGCCACTCCAGTCATCACTTCCATTGTTCCCACACCATGCTGGGCACCATGCCCAGGTAAAGGTGAACGTTCTCCAAGAGCCATCAAGGGAGCGTGTGGAAGGAAACAGAAGGGATGAAGGCCCTAGCCACTAACTTTCTTGCTGTCCTCTGTCTTCTCTTCCACACCATCCCCTGAGGTTGGGAAATGCCCATTTTTCCATTATGTTCTCTTCTTTCCTAACCAAGACTTCACCTAAAATGTGAAAGTCAAATAGACTGATTTTGAAAAATTATATAGTATCCATACTAATTTATGTAAATTAAGTATAAAACATATCAATGGTATTGACGGAGTCAAAAGCTTATTATTTTGAGTTTTTTTTAAAAAAAGGCTAAAATTTGGTTTCAAATCTTTATGTGGTCCCAGAGGAGATTATTACAGGAAAAGCAGCATGAGAAAAGAAACTGGGATAAAAGGAAGTCCTGATATTGAGTATGGTATATTCGAGTTAGTTCTAGGAAGTGGTATGGTTTAGTGGAAAGTGTTTAGTCTTGCATCAGACAGATCTATCTGTAACTGGAGCCCTGACCCCTCCAAGCTGAGTGACTTTGAACAAGTCCTTAACCTCTCTGAGCTTCACTCTAACATTTTGCAGTAAAACCCACCTTTTAGAATTGTTGTGACCATTGCATAGCGCTTAGTCCAAGCCCTGGCACATACATTATTCTCTGTTGTTTTTGCTATTCTTAGTAATGAATAGAAAATGATAGAGAGATAGATAAGTGATTATGGGAAACCACTAACAAGAGCTATTCGCTTACCCTCTTGTAACATTTAGAAAATTAATGCTGCCTTTTTATAAGTGCCTGTTCTAGCATAGAAATCAGAGGCTTAAAGAAACTGGTGATTTCAATGCAAAGTTACCATCCACTTCCCTAAGCATACCAAGTGCACTTCTAAAAATTACTCCCAGTGAATGCTCTTCCGTGTCGGAGTTTCTAATTGTGGGCTTATTTTGGAAAGCAAGTCAAGGACATTCGTTAATGATATTTCAACTGCACAAGCACCCTGATGACATGTGACAAATCAATTAGAAAAATTATCCTGGAAATGCCTTGCCTGGGGTGGTTACCATGGCTTTTGGGAAGGAGCATGTGGCATGTGGCTTGGAGTAACAGCATTCTGACTCATCCTGGGCACTAAATTCTGTATCTTTCCACTGTGGATGTGCTTACCATCCTATTTTCTGGTGTTGTAAAAATTAAGGAAGGGAATTACATGAGTCTCATTTGTGAAGTTTGCAAATTTCTATATAAATATAGAAGTACTAAGCCCATGCATTAAACTTTCTTTTTAATGCTAAAGACATTGGCCAACACTTATTAGATATTTATTGTCAACCATAATACTATTTACAGATTTGTAAAAAATTACTCTGGTTGCAATTTGTAAAAAATAATGGTAACAAGATTAGAAATAGAATGACTAGATGGGAAGAAAGATTCATTAGTGTTTTAAACAGGGTAGAAAGTATTGGAAATATGATGGGATGAGGGACATAGGCACTGAAAGAGTTGAAAGAGGGAAGAGAAAGTAAAGGGACGTTCCGTGCATTCTATTATGTGAGCAACACAAAGAAGAAAGTACATGCACAATTGGCCCTGAGATTAATGAGATCAGTCTAATTGAAGTAGTTGTTTTCCAGGTGGTGCTGAGATAATGGAGAATTGTGAGATTGAGACTAGTTACAGCAGAGCAAAACTCCCAGAGACATTTTTCCCCACAATAAACAGCTTAGGGGCTGGGCACGGTGGCTCACGCCTGTAATTCCAACACTTTGGGAGGCCAAGCTGGGCAGATCACTTGAGGTCAGGAGTCCAAGACCAGCCTGGCCAACATGGTGAAACCCCATCTATACTTAAAAAAAAAAAAAAATATATATATATATATATATATACATATATATATACACACACACACACACACACACAAATTAGCCTGGCGTGGTGGCGGGTGCCTGTAATCCCAGCTACTGGTGAGGCTGAGGCATGAGAATCACTTGGACCCGGGAGGTGGAGGTTGCAGTGAGCCGAAATCGCGCCACTGCACTCCAGCCTGGGAGACAAAGCGAGACTCAGTCTCAAAAAAAAATAAAAATAAAAAAATAAATAGCTTAAGGACTAAGGAGCAATGAGGAGTTATTGACTGTTAATAAGGTAGTTAATGACAATATTAAATTGAGCTTTGGAGTAATAAAATAGAAAGCATTTTGGAGTCAAAATTTCTGGATGCGATCCTCAGCATACTCCTACAACCCAGCCACGTTGCCAGAAAGAGAAGTCTCCCAGCAATTGCACTCAGTGAGCTCCACATTGACAAGTAAAGCACAAAAAACACAGAGGTGGATCATCTGGGGTCAAGTTGTGTTTCCGGAATTGGTGATGAAAGCAGAATCTTAACACGTGGATAGGAGTTCTTTGAGCAAAGAAAAGGAGAGGCATTTGATTCTGATTACGCATTCCAACACATTTTGCTCAGGAAAGCAAGTGTGAAAGTCAGGACGTGGTATTCAAGTTACAAGGAACAAAAAGAAGGTGGTAATCTCAGAAGCCTCCAGGTTTATCAGCACTGGTCCACGTGGCAGGAGAATCACTGGTGGACCAGGCCAAAGAAGGTGTTATACTAACTGAAATGATGCCTGAAGATTTGTCCTAGACATTTTGTCCACTCGGGCCCTCCTCCCATATCAAGGTCAATTTCTCTAACTTTGTTCTAATTTTCCAAAGCAGGATATTCAGCAATGATTTCAAACTTCATGCAAATCTGCTTTCTGTCCCTCCTGCCTGAACTGTCACAAACCCACTATGAAACCTGATTTGTTATATTCGGAGTATTTTTTTCTTAAGGCAATACTGACTGCTCTGGAAAAGTAATGACTAAAAGGAATCTTTCCCCAAAATCTCTTGTCAATTGAAGGAAAAAAAAATAGAAAGAGAGAAAAAATACCTGCCTGGCACAGATATTGTAAATGGAGCCATCAAAACTCACTGTGGGTTTTTATGATAAATATACACACAAGGCAGGTATTTGGGTGAGAAACTATTTCTATTTTAATGCAAGACAGACAGACCAATACATCAGCCTCCTGCCTGTTAATTCTCATAATATGTTGTCTCAATTTTCCCACTTTCCTCCTGGCTATGGGACAAACTTTTAAAATACGTTAGTGACACGCACTTGGTCCAATTAGACGTTAGTTCAAGGTAAAACCCTACAGCGTGGTTTCCCTGAAATACCCAAAATCAGCCCATCATCGTCATCAACAACAACAACAACAAAATGCTGCTCTTCTGCTCTCTGCTCTCCTGGTAAATTTATAATCTGAGAAGCCCTATGTCAGAATTGACTTTTGTGCCACCCTTGGAATTCCCAAAACTGATATCTTTGTTTGGAAATCCTAAAAGGCAGAGTCTCAGTATGACTATTCTCCTTGGAATTTCTAGAATTTCCTGAGTCTGAATGCACAAGTGATTAATGTCACATCTCCTGAAAAAGACAAATTATGCCAAAGTTATTGAGAAGTCTATGATTAACAAAGGCAGAAGCAAATGGATACTTTAGAAGGTAAAATGTTTCCTGTTGGTTACTTTATTGACTCTGAGGACAGAACTGGAGAGAAGTAGGGGAAAGGGAAATTGCATATGATGTCCTTTTGTCCACTTGCATCCTTCATTTATGGCAAGATGAATGCCCACAGGTGACAGTGTAGCCTGATCAGCATTTGATATCTTGGAGGAGATGAGCAGGTGGTCAGGCCGCTCTTCAGAGATTTCTAAAGAGAAGTTATTACAGAAAAATAGTTCACCTTGCAGGACCTTGCTCAGAGACTTCAATACACTCGGGAGGTATTGAGGTTGTTGACACAGCACCAAACATCACGTTCTCAGACAACAGCATGTAAGATAAGAGTAGGTAGACATAATGGGGCTAAACCTTCATGTGCCATTCTTTTTATTAGGAGGGAAACTGTCCCATGAACACCTCCTCAGATGTCTCCTCAGGTCTCTTTGCCAGAATTGTGTCACATGCCCATAAAATAGCTGGAAAGGAGGTTATTTTTTTTTTTTTTTTTTTTTTTTTGAGACGGAGTCTCGCTCTGTCGCCCAGGCTGGAGTGCAGTGGCGGGACCTCGGCTCACTGCAAGCTCCGCCTCCCGGGTTCACGCCATTCTCCTGCCTCAGCCTCCCAAGTAGCTGGGACTACAGGCGCCCGCCACTACGCCCGGCTAATTTTTTGTATTTTTAGTAGAGACGGGGTTTCACCGTTTTAGCCGGGATGGTCTCGATCGGAAAGGAGGTTATTAATGCAAACCTACGGCATTTTAACTCCATGGTGGGAGGTGGGAATGGTCAGTTTGGAGGAATGGGGAGAAATTGTGGAGTAGTCAGCCAACAGTGCTATGTGACTTATTCCTAACTTTTGTTGATCATGGCTCCAATCAGACACCACCACCTCTGAGCTTTCCACGAAACCTCATTTCCCAGGTGGGATCAGTGCCACTCAGCTTTGCTCTCATCAAAACCTTTGCCTGTCATCAATGCATCTCTGTGACACTGCATTGAAATTGCGTGTTTTTCTATCCCTCCTTACAAAGGGTGAGCTCCTTGAAGTCAATGAATATATCTAGCTCATGATTATATAAGCACCACCTGGTGTACTGCTTGGCATACAACAGATAGTTAAAAATATATAGCATTTAATTGAATGTTTTCAAGACACATTTCATTTCTAATTTGACAGCATTTGGATTACATACTGAGGGAAAACTTGTCTACAGGTTTTGATTTTCCAACGTGTGTTTGAAAGAAAAATAATATAAAATATGAAACTCAAGGAATAATTTCTTCTGAGGCCTGGCATTTAATCATTTCATTAGTCTCACTAAAGGGATAAATTAAGTGCGGTCTCAGAGAGAGACCTGCTTTAGCAATCTGGGCTCACTGTAGGGAACAGAAACCCCTCTAAGTATTTTAAATAAAATGTAAATTAACATAAGGAATTATGTGTTTATGGAATCTTGGAAGGACTGGAGGAGCTTGCAACAGTTAAGCTTAGAATACATTCTGCCATAGGTGCTGGGGAACCCAGAAGTGGCTGATACAGCTGCCATCACCACTGCAGCAACCGCAACTGCTTCTTGGTAGCCACATGGCTAAAACTTGACATTCTGCCAGAAATTACAGCAGGAAGACTGCCTCATCTTCACTCCTCTCTTCTAAATCACTTAAGTGAATGTAATTGGTACAGCCAAATTTGTGTCAGAAGCCTGGTTGCAATAGAGCCAAGAAAGGTTGACTTTGCTTTCCAGCCTTTATTATATTAAAAACAGCAGAGCAAGATGACAACGTGGATGCTGTCAATTGAACATATCCAATGTACTTCCTGAGAGTCATTCAATGAGTAATTGGTAGGCAAGGACCTGACCTTCTAACCTATAGTCATAGGTAATATTGATGGTATCCAAGGAGTTAGCACTGTGGTAGCTCTCAATTACTGTGAGAGAGCAGGAAGATTTCTAAGATAGACGAATTGCACAGTAAAACCAGTCTCAGTTTCTCCAGGGTATCCACTTACAGCATTCTTGACCCATAAATATTTGCTTTTCTCTTTTCAGTGTGTGGCTTTGCTGCTCCAACGGGATTATCACGACACACATGGGCTTAGTCAGGAACTTTAAAGTTGGATGCTACGGCCTATTTATTGTTACCATGCAAGGTAGAAAATATGTATTTTAAAAATCCAACTCATACTTTTAGATTTAAAAAGCGATCTATGTTAATTTAGCATTTTAGAAAAGCTTCAGAAAGGAAATAAAAATCACTTTCTAACTGAGACTCAAGCAGATGATAAGCCTTCTCAGATACCTGGGCTGATACCGTCACTATGCTTGTATAATCTGCTTAGATCTCCACTTGGAGATGACACCCAGTCTAGAGGAAGATTCCACTTCAAGTTTTCCTTAATTCTGAAGTCTTACCACCATGAGCTGTGGGCAACTAGGAGGAAAAATACATTCGGGCACCTGATTTGTCAAGAGTCTGATTTGACATTATAATTGAGAACACAGAAGTGATGCTTGAGAGTGCCCTGGCATTCCGTTCATGGCCGTAAGTCTTAAATCTGTCATCACGTCCTTCTGATCTGTCTTTGAAATGCTGCTCGTGTCTGCACACACTTAGATAGGCTCCAATGTATCTAAGGATACGTCAGACATGGGATATATCATCTAAGATGACATCTTGTTTGTTCAATTGTTCATTTATTCATTTACTATTTTAAAATCAGATGATTTAGTACAGAAAAAATCTTTATGCCAGGCTATCCATTCTTTATATCAAACAATCTATTCTCTATATTAATTTCAGAGTTTTCTTCTTAAAGCAGGGGTCTAATATTTCAATATTTTTTCAATTATTTGTGTCAGAAACGATGCTAGTGACTACAGTCTAAAAATCAGATAAGCAAAGCCCTTGCCCTGAAGAAATTCATAGCCAAATGAGGCAACACATAATAGCAGTTAAACAGATGGGCTTGGCCAGGCGCGGTGGCTCACGCCTGTAATCTCAGCACTTTGGGAGGCCGAAGCTGATCATGAGGTCAGGAGATCAAGACCATCCTGGCCAACATGGTGAAACTCTGTCTGTACTAAAAATACAAAAATTAGCTGGGCATGGTGGTGTGGTGGTTTGTGCCTGTAATCCCAGCTATTCAGGAGGCTGAGGCAGGAGAATCGCTTAAACCTGGGAGTCAGAGGTTGCAGTGAGCCAAGATTGCGCCACTGCTCTCCAGCCTGGTGACAGAGTGAGACTCTGTCTCAAAATAAATATGGATCAAGTGCATGTGCTTATATGCCCAGCTTGATGGAAAATGCTTTGGTATTGGTGACCTTTTTAATGCCATCCACGCAAGATTATCATGCAAATAAAATTATCCCTCATTTTTAAGTGAGAAAACTAAGTCTCAAAGTTGTATAAACTAGACAGGAAGAAAATATAACTTAGTGGTTATGATTATACCTTTGTTAAATAGTCAGCAAACATTAAAATCTTGGCTCCAAAACTTATCAGTATTACTATAGGTAAGAGCTTCAGCTTCCTGTGCTTATCTCACCTGTCAAATCTCAATAAAAATAGTGCATGACTCATAGAGTGGATACAAGGACAAAACAAAAAGGTTTATGGCATTTCTTAGGAGAGTGCTTGGTGATTAGTAAGCTTTCTAATGTCAGTTACTATAATCATATCACTTGTCAAAAATCCTTGATGTTAAGATGTTACAGAGCTGGGATTTGCTCCCAGATTGATCTCATTCCTGAACTCATTCTTTTTACAACATTGCATTAACACACCTCCAACAGCATTTTGTTGTTCAGTAAGGAGAGTAATTAGCAACACTACCCAGGTCAAACGTGCAGTCAGATATGTACCTTAGATGAAAGCTACTACTGCACATTTGAAAAGATTAAAATCTTGGAAAGACCTAAAGAAGCCAGGACCCTCCTATAGATGCTATTGTGGACTAGACTGTCACTAAATAGGTACAGACACAGTGAACTCCAATGTGAAAATTACATTTTTAATTACTGACTGTAGAAACCTGCTAAATAAGTGCAAATGAGTAAGTGAATCAGTATTGAGAATACGGTCTGAATGGTGCTATTTTGTCATGGCCAGAAACTTACTTCCCTTAATGAGTAATTTGTTTATTCAGGATTTCATTGCCTCCTTCAGTGAAATTTCTAACTTTTAGAAAAAATTTCATTCCACTTAAGTTATAAAATAAATTTTTGTGATGTTTTCATGGATAATTTTTTTGTTTAAATTTCAACTCTATAAATAATTATCTCATTTTCTTTATTCCTATTGGGGTTTTTAAAGGTTTTATTGAAATATATGTACAGAAAAGAGTTCAAATAGAGAGCTCAAAGCATGATCACAAAGTGAACACATCTGGTGACTAGTACCCAGTAAAACATCACCAATGCCTCAGAGTTGATTTTGTGCCCCTCCCAAATACTAATCTTTCTCTGCTTCTCAAGGTAACCATTATCTTGAGTTCAAACACCAAAATTATTGTGGCCTTTTTTTTTGGTCTACTTTAACATACATTGAACTAAATATCACTTAGTTTTGCCATTTTATCTCTTTTAGGTTATTTTTATGAATTTTGTGTGGCAAATATTTGTTTGATTCATGTTTCTTTGAGGAAGCACTGTTTATTGGTCCTTTGGATTTCCTCTTTTGATAGAGGCCTGCTTATGGCTTTACCCACCTCCTATTTTTAATTGTTGGAGTTATTTTTCTCTTATTGATTTCTAAGTGTTCTTTACATATCTTCTGGTTATGGAACTTTCATTGATTATAGGTGTTCATAAATGTCTCCTCCAACTTTGTGGCTTTAGTTATCACTTTGTAATAATATATTTTGATGAATAGAAGTTACTGATTTTAGTAGAGACTAATTTATCGATATTTTACCTTGTGGCTGCTGTTTTTTCTTCCACTTAAATTTTTTTTCTTTATTAATATCTGAAAGATAATCCATTTTATCTTTCACATTTAGATGTAGAATCAGGCCACATTTTATAATTCCCTTTAGTATGAGTTGGGGGTCTATTGTAATATTTTATGATGTTTATATCCACTTGTCTCAGCAACATATATGAAAACACTCGTCCTTTCCTACAGTACCATAATACCACCTTCACAATAAACTATATATCTTTTATAAGCGGGACTAATTTTTAATTCTCTTATCAGTTATGTTTATATTAACCATCTGCTACATTAAGAGTCTATGCTTGTGCCGATAGCACACTGTCCTCATTACTACAACTTTCTAAAATGTCTTCACATCGAGAGAAGTAAAATATTTTGTTTTGCTGTTCTTCAATTTTGTATAGACTATCCTTGCTCCTTGCATTCCCACACACAATTTAAAATTGAGTGAAAAAAACACCCGTACCTGGAGTTTTCTTGTGAGAAGATTTTAAACTACAAATTAATGTATTTAGATATATAAGACTATTTAGATTTTTTTACTTCTGTCAGTGTTAATAACCTGTTTTCTTTTCAAGGAACATATTTTTTATCTAGATATCCACATGTACTAACGTGAAGTTATTCATTATACTCTAATATTTTTGATGATAATTGATCTGTAATAAAGTTCTCTTTTTTTATTCCTGATACTTACCTGTTTAATCTCTCTCTCTCAAGTTTGGCATAAACTTAACATGTTTTAGGGAAATTTTAAATAAAATAAGATGCACATGTAGTCCCAGCACTTTGGAAGGCCAAGGTGGGTGGATCACGAGGTCAGGAGATTGAGACCATCCTGTTTAACATGGTGAAACCCCATCTCTACTAAAAATACAAAAAATTGGCTGGGCGTGGCGGCGGGCACCTGTGCTCCCAGCTACTTGGGAGGCTGAGGCAGGAGAATGGCGTGAACCTGGGAGGCAGAGCTTGCAGTGAGCCGAGGTCGCACCACTGCACTCCAGCCTGGGCGACAGAGCGAGACTCCGTCTCAAAACAAACAAACAAACAAACAAACAAACAAAAACATTCACAAATGTAAAGTACCCAGTTCATTGAATTTTTATAATTTTATTCACTCATGAAACCACTACTCCAAAAGGACAGATAAAGTTTTTTTCTCAAAAAAAAAAAAGTTTTCTTTTAAAGAGTTGGGGAATTCAACCCCAACTCTGACGGCAAAGAAAATTTCCCCAGACCACTTTCTTCTATCAAATTCCCCACACTGGCAACCTTTTACTGATTTATGTCAACATCAATTATTTTTGCTTGACCTTGGTGTGATTCCATTTATGTGACACTAAGGTCAAGCAAAAATAATCTATGTCTTCAGTGTCTACTTCCTTCACCCAACATACAGTGTTTTGTGATTTATTTGTGTAATTTTTATATAGCATTCCTTTCTTTCTTATTGCTGAGTAATATCCCATTATATAAATGTATCATAAATTGCTTATTAATTGCCCTGTTGATAGACTTTGGGTTGTTTCTAGATTTGAGCAATTATAAATAAGTCCATTATGATTATGAACTTTCTTGTATAAATTACTTATTGAATCTGTGTTTATATTTCAGGTAATGCCCTTAGACATAGATGCACTGCAGCAAAATGCAGATACAAGTTCACACGCACACACAGACACACACCCACACACACAGACATGCACATACATTTACTAAACAGCTTTTCCTAGTTATAATGACATTTAAAGTTTCCACCTGGAGACTCTCGGTTTATGTGTGATGCAGAGAGCTGGAAAAAACATTGCTCCACCCTTACAACAACAGAAACTGACTACAAATTTATGACTTGTGTGAATCTGTGAGAAATAAGGTCATAGAAATATGATGCATCCAAAATCTAAGGGGACAGGTGCCTATTTATTGTTGCAATTCTCTGAAATTCTTGTTTCGTATTCAGAAAACAGAAGCAAAAAACTTGATATATGAAAGAAATTGAAAGAAGTGGGAATTCTGCAGAAATCAAATTCTGCTGTCAAGAAACTAAACGCACAGAGGGCCCGGAATAGAAAGGAATTGACTGAAGATCCAGGAGGAAGGGTAAACAGTGGCAGGCTCAAGTTCAGCTTTGCACTCCAATGAATCAGTAAATCAGCAACAATGCATGTTTGCTACAAAATGGATACTGCCTCCCTCTCACCTTTCAACCACTGGGAGAGAATCTCTGAAAACTGAAATAATACTAGAAAAGGAATTCTGGAGAGTGTAGTTCAGCCTAGGCAAGTTGACACATCAAAAATTCACCAGAGCCAACTCCATGAAAATGCATTAATTATCAAAATACAAAAAATTCAAATAAACATTGTGTGGTCTAAATCTAATAAATAATTCACTTACACTAGGAAAAACACCTGCCATGTTAAAATGTTTATTTTCAATTTTATATTGTTTTAAATTAAGCTATGCCTTCAGTCTTCCAATGATGAATATAGTTCACTGATGAAATTGTTAGTGTCATCTTTATATTATATTAGTAAAAGAGAATTTTCAGGCCTAATAGCTCTTTTAGAAAAGATATATAATTGTCCCATGAAGGGTTACATTTCACGAAAGAAGAGAGAGGAAAGAAAGAAAGAAAGAAAGAAAGAAAGAAAGAAAGAAAGAAAGAAAGAAAGAAAGAAAGAAAGAAAGAAAGAAAGAAAGAGGAATGAAGGAAGGAAAGAGACAGAGAGAGGAGAGAAGAAAGAAAGGAAGAAAGGAAGAAAAAAGGAAAGAAAGAAAGAAAAAAGAAAGAGGAGGAGGGAGGGAGGGAGGGAGACAGAGCGGGAGGGAGGGAGACAGAGCGGGAAGGAGGGAGGCAGGGAGGGAGGGAGGGAGGGAGGGAGGAAGGAAGGAAGGAAGGAAGGAAGGAAGGAAGGATGGATGAAAGGAAGGAGGGAAGGAAAGCAGGCAAAGAAAGTCGACACATATTTAGTGCCAAAAAGTGCTAGTGACTATTCTGTGAATCATGACGTGCAGTTGAATGTTCACAACTAGTCCCTCTATCATAGGGTCTCCAGATAAAATACTAGAAATGCATATAAACAGCAGAGTCTGTTGTTGTTAGTATAAGTAAGTCCCAAGTATTGTATGTCTAATGCCACAATATTTCAGATAAACAACACACACACACACACACACACGCACAAACTATCCTAAATATTGCAGAAGATGTATTTATTTATAGTAAAAATTTTTGAGGTTAATCTAGAATTCAAATTTAACTGTGCATCCTGCTTTTTTTTTTTTTTTTTTTTTTTTTTTTTGAGACGGAGTCTCACTCTGTCCCCCAGGCTGGATTGCAGTGGCGCGATCTCGGCTCACTGCAAGCTCCGCCTCCCGGGTTCACGCCATTCTCCTGCCTCGGCCTCCCAAGTAGCTGGGAATACAGGTGCCCGCCGCCACGTCCGGCTAATTTTTTTGTATTTTTAACAGAGACGGGGTTTCACTGTGTTAGCCAGGATGATCTCGATCTCCTGACCTCGTGATCCACCTGCCTCGGCCTCCCAAAGTGCTGGGATTACAGGCGTGAGTCACCACGTCTGGCCCATCCTACATTTTTATTTGCTGAATCTGGCCACCATGTTTGGGGGTGAAAAAGCCCAGCTGTTTTGATTTTCCAGTTTCTGTGATGTAAATACACCTGCGGTATAAATACCCTTAACAATACTCTGTGACCAAAGTTTATATCCATTTTATAGATGAATAAAGTCTTAAAATAGAAGTTTGGTTAAGAAACATGTTTAAGTTGACATAACTAGTGTGACAGAGGGAATTCAACCCCAACTCTGATGACAAAGCTATATTCTTTTCAGAACTGTGACTTGCTTTTCCTGGTTGATCCATCTGTGCTGACATTATGCAGACTTTACCACAAGAGGAGAGGATGCATAACTAGGAACTGTTTTGTGAATACGTATCAAGGTTAGAAAACAGTATGTTTTACCTCCTGAAAAGAGCCAACTGTGCTTCAAGTATAATAGGTGAGAAAAAGTACAGTTAGAAGACAAATTGGGAGACACCAGCCAGTCACACCAGGGATTAGCTGTATGACTTTAGACTAGCTTCTTGGCATTTCTGAATCTCAATTTTTGTCCAATTAGATAGTAGGTTCTGTAGGAGTGAAGACTAATGCTAAACAGTCCCTCAGTAACAATGCCAAAAACAAAAACAATTCAGTAATTAAGAAGCAACAAGAAAGTGGAAAATCATAGTCAAAATTTATTTCATAAACATGCCCAATCCAGACTTATTTATAATGGTAAAATAATGAGAATGACTTAATATCTCTTAAAAAAAAGAATTGGTAAAATAAATTACACTATAATCACAGAAAATAATTATTCTGTCATTAAAGTGATGTTTATCTAATCCTATTAGTTATCTATACTATACCTTTAAAAACATGTTAATTGAATAAATACTAGACACCAAATTGCACGTACAATATCATTTCAATCATCCCTACCAGTCCTGACATACAGTAATCACATCACAAGTATTTGTCAAGTGAAAACTGTAAGATAAATAGAAAAAAGACTATAAAAAATTAGATATTAAATGAGATTGCCTTTGCTTTTTGATCTATATATATTTTGTCTTGCTTCTTTTGTTTTTTATATATGTCTTCGTTTTCTCAATTGAGTACATATTGAGTTCATTGTAAAACATAAGTTACAACAATCTAAAAACAAACTAAAAATACTGCTGATTAATCCACTGTATAGGGATCTCACATGCAGGGAGATTGACTAAAGGATCTGATAGTCCAATCGTAATTTCATGCCCAAGTTATTCTCTGATGCCTACATCCTCATATAAGATGTCCACATCCTTGGAATTTCTCATGGGCCTGACAAGTTCCCAGGACTCTGGACTGTGTTATCCATGGGTTTGGATCAGTGGTGTGGATGGTCCACGTTTGAACAGAGTTTGGTGCTGGGTCCTTTTTTTTCCACTTCTCTTATTCTCTCTGGAGGGCTCTGACATCTGCATATTTTTCTGTCTTCTCAGTCCTTCCTTTCTATTTCCCTCTTTCCCAGCTTTATCTGGCCATTGAGATCAATATCATTTGATCATCAAGAAGAATAAAAATCTTTGTTTCTCCTTAAAGCTACTCAGGGGGTGCTCAAAGGGATACCAGTGGAAGGATAGTAGTAGCAGAGAGAAACAGAAAGACTAAGAAAATAAGCACAGTCATAACTTGAGATATAAATCTGACCTCAGACCACAACAAAAACCTAGAGAAAAAAAAATGATCGTATAGGTAGTAAACCTTGCACATTCGTTCTACTTCTGTAATTCCATGGTCTTATGAATCACAGAGGTAGCATTTGAGCTACATATTGAAAGATATTATTCACTGTTTATAGTAAGAAGGAGAAAACATCATAAAACGCCACATAGTTAAATAACCTGAAAATTTCAAAAGAGGAATAAGAAAATCCTATATAGTATCTGAAATTTTCATAGACAAAATATTGACACTGTTCATTTGTTTTGGTCTTTGTTGTTTATATAGTTCAACTCAGGAAAAGAAAAATCCATCCTGTATCAAAAAGTAAATAGAAAAATATGTTGTTCAGGGTTAAAGTAGCCATGGTGCTTTTGAAAACGAAAACCAATAATGCTATGTGTCTCCTTTTTATATTGATTCCCTCCCCCTTGTCCCACAGAGGTGACATTTTACAATTCATTTGCTTTATAAAAATTATGAGACTTTTTTAAAGCCTTCGATTTAACTTGAATTTCTTTTTATTCAATTTCCAGTGACGGAGGTGAGAGAAGATTGAAGATACTTTAAATCAAATATTTTAATATATAGACAACCAGGTTTTTCTGTTTGAGCACAGAATTTGATTTCACTGTAAGAGTACACGTTTTGAATCCTGCTTAAACAAGAAAACAAACAAGACCCTCACATTTTATTGAGTACTTCCTATATGTTAAAATGTATACTGGCTTTTTTTCCTTATGTCATTTTATTTAACACTTTCAAGAGTTCTGAAAAGTAGACTCTTTTCTCCGAGTTTACAGATACAAATAATTGAAATGATTGTTTTATGACAGAGGTAAAATATATAGATAAAAGTAAACAAAGAAAGTCTCAGGGGTAATCCACATAGATTTTTATTCAGAATATTCATTGTACTGTACTATGAAGTATAAATGTGGTTGTTATATGGTAATATTTAGAAGTTACTGGGAGATCCTATCCTCCTATTGCACTCCTCCTTATTGTTAAAGGATTAGTGACTTTCCTCCAAATGACAGTGTTTTTAGTGAGGAAAAAGAATAATAAGATTTTATTACCTTAAAGTTGTTTACTAGATTAATTAAAAAAAATTAATTGACCTTCCCAATTATATTCAAAGGCCTCCTCTAAAGGATTATATGCTTATATAGGCAATTATTTCTTATCTGTTCTCAACAGAATAGCCAGCAAGATAGTTTTACTCATTAGTCAGGTATATTAAGGTTCTCCAGAGAAACAGGGCCAATAGAAAATCTATCTATGCACCTATCATCTGTCTATCTCAAGATATTTATTATGAGAAATTGGCCTAAGAAATAGCAGAACAGATGGTGTTAGCCTTAGGCTAAGAATGGGAGAAGACAGATGTCTGGGAATAAGCAATTAGGCAGGGGGAGCAAATTCTCCCTTCCTCCACTTTTTGTTCTACTTGGGCCCTCGGTTGATGGGATGATGCTCCCCTACATTGGTGAAGACAGCTTTTTTTTACTCAGTCTACTGATTCAAATGTTAACCTCTTCCAGAAACATCCTCGCAGACACACCCAGAAATATATTTTATCAGCTCTCCAAGCATCCTTCAGCCCAGTCAAGTTGACACAGACATTTAACCATCCCAGGGGGATTTGGGATATAGGCCCTATCACGTCTTCCCTGGAACTCATGGCAGTAGAGGACTGCTGTGGTACAACACGAGACCTGGGTTCGAATCTGCTCACTCTCCTTCTAGCTGTGCCACCATGGACAAACCACTTACCCTCTCTGAGCACACTGCTCATCATCAGGAAAACAGGAATAACAGTAACCTGTCTTTCAGAGGCTGCCCTTCACTATCCAATTTAAAACTTTAACAGCCCTTAACATTTGCTGTCTTTCTCCACATTATTTTCTCATTAGTATTTATCATTGTTTTGCATTTTTATTTTTGTAATGATTTTCTAAAGTAGAATATAAGCTATAGGATAACAAGGTAGATGCAGTCTCTACCCTCAGAACCTATATTCCTTCAAGGAAGATGTATAACTAAACTGGTAATGACAGGAACGTACACTGGTATGACAGAAGCTCATGGTGCTCTGGGAATCCAGAAAAAGGGCCACTGGTCCAGGCTTGTTTACAGAGCTAATGAAGAATCTTAGGATATTTACCATTATTCACTGTCCCTTAGATGATATAGTCTCTTTATGCTAAAGGGATAGTAGAGTCAGAGGTCCCCAGGATCTGATCTGAGCTGGTTATGATTGACTACTCATAACCAGTGTCAGAGAAATGTTCATACTGCCAGGATCCATTCAGATATATGGAAACAGATGTTGCCTGAGGACATGATGTGAGGTTCAGAGAAGTGAATCATTTTGCACGTGGCCAACAGACAATTGTGTGCTATAAATTACAGTCATTGTGACCAGATTCAAGGGTTTTACTCCAGCAATTTTGTTCATCTTTTGTCACAGGGTAACATGAGAAAAGAAATCACAAATATAGATGGCATCAAAATATTCTCAAGAAACTAGTGGACTGCACAGCATAGGTCAGAATAGAAAGTTCATCTCAAAGAAGCATATTGTGGCTTTTCTGAAAATGGATTGCACACACCCCTTCTGCAAAACACGTATCAGAATATACCTTTGACGCTTGTATTTCTGGGACCTTATCTCTTTCAGGGCATTCACTGCATCTTTGCAGCTCCCCTATCTCTATTTTACATAGCTCATACCTCCCTTGATTTTCTAGAATTCAGGCAGGTTATTCATTTCGGAAGATCACAGATATTTTTTAAAAAAGTATATACCACGAATATTGGAGTTTCTATAGGAGAGTCATAAAATAAAATAAATATGGGGATAGGATCCATATATTTATTTTGAAACAAATAGCTAGGAAATTGAGGAATTAGGAAGTATTTATGCCAATGACTGGCCTTAAGACTATGCTGCCTTAAGATAACAGTAAGTCCATTGCTAGTAGTAAGTGAGAGAAGAAGGTTAATGCTGTGCAAATATTAAAACATTGTAACACTAAGATTCTCTGTCTTCAATATGTGTTAATTACTAGAATAGGCCTTTCGGGGAAATTAGTGTTTGGCTGGTACCCAACAGCATGGCAATTTTTTAGCTACTTATCTGCTGAGCAGGCGTCCTTCCTGCCATTTTCTCCCCATATATTCAACCTCTTCCCAACTCTGAATGGTGTCCAATATGGGATGCTTTGCCTAAAATGTAGTGACTAAGTCTTGATAATTATGAAAATGTGTCAATTATTAAAATGCTGTTAAAACATGCAAATAGGATCATATGCTAAAGAGAGGGGAAAAGGAATAATTACCCCAATTACAGGTTATGAGGGAGTTAGATGAGGAATTTCTGAACAGAGAACAGTTTCCACCACTTACAAGAAACAATCTCTCTATTATTGCAATGTCTCCTTACCCTTTACAGGACACTAGGGCTCATGGATACCTGTTCCTGAGAAGCGCAAGGGAAACTCACGCCAATGCTGTTATATTGGAAGTCCCTTTGAGATCCTTAGCACAAATCTGTAAGGGCCTCAGATTAAACCTGCTTGTTTCTAGTGTGTATCTGTTGAATGGTTCATGAAATGCTGCAGTTAAGGTGCTGGTCTATCTGAGGGGGGCCACACCTTCTGCAGACCCCCAGTGATGAAACCTACCCATGTGCAACCAGGGTGAACGTAGCTGCCATAGTTCCCTTGAAGTCTGCCACTGCTGTGATCGTCATGATGTGTTGCCACTGCAGTTTCACTGAAAGCCACCCCACCACTCCCATGGTGGTTATTCCACAATGTCCTACTATCAACACACCTTCATGTTTTATCCCTCAAATGTAATATTTGATTGGTTAACTTGCACTCAATTGAAAAATTTGATATTATATTGCCTTTTCAACATTATTATAGGAAAAGGTGTCAATGTAAGGAAGGAGCAGGATGTCTTCCACCCATGGGTGGATAGAAGGATGTTGGTAAGCCTCTGTTTGGATCTAGAGAGAAGAGTGTGAGTCCTGTGGGGCTCTCAGTTACCATGTGAGAAATTCATTTCTTAATTTGTGGAATACTAGCTCAGGAAGAATAATGTAAAAGAATAACACGTCTGAGCTTCTGGTCACCTTTTCATATTCACCATGCTTATAGGCTTATTTTGGTCATAGTAGAAGGCAGTAAAACCCTTGAGGAAATAGACAAGCAAACAACAACAACAAAAAACAATAACAACAACAAAAAAATGCATTTTTTTTCTAAGAAGAGAGAAGGGGAATCACTAACAATACTGAATTTCTTAGGTAATTTTGGCAGCTAATGGAGACAGTTATTGAGGAAGGCTGAATGCACTCTGAGTCTGGAATGTGGAAGTGTGGACAATTCTGCAGAGCAGGCCTACAGTGGAGGAGCACAGGAAAATCTTCAACACAGGAAAAAATTGTGGACCACCTACTTAAGGAGGAATTCCAAAGACTTGCTGTACAACATAGTACCTATAGTCAATAATATAGTATTGTGTGCTTTAAAATATGTTAAGAAAATAGGTCTCATGTAAAGTGTTCTTACCAAAAAACAAACAAACAAACAAACAAAAACCACAAGGAAATTTGTGGAGGTGAGAGACATTTAGTACCTTGATTGTGGTGATGGTGTCATGAGCTCATCCATCTGTCGAATTTCATCAAACTGTGCGCATTAAATATGTACAATTTTGTGTATCAAGTATTTTTCAATACAGCTAAAAATATGTACTTTATTTATAAAAAACATACGTTTTTTTTAGTACAGAACATTGAATAGTTTTAACAAAGAAGGCATCTATGGCTGGACAAGAGGAAGTTCTCAACCCTCCCTAAGCCATTGATTATCCACACACTGTGACCTCTTCTCTCCGGGGTTATGTTCTCATTTATTTAATATGAGGGAAGGAAGGTCATTCTCTCAAACTCGTGTAGATTTTCACAACAGCTTAGTGATTTATGTTATACAAATATAATCTTTTAACCATCAATTATGATATATATTTTTCTTAATGGGCAATCTGAACATAATGATAGCATTGTTTTGTATTAAAGGTTAAAATAATAAATGTAAAATTCTTAGCAGAGTGCCTGAGGCAAATAAATACTTTTTACTATTAATACTATTATTATTTATTCTTATCATTATTTTTATTTCTATTAAGCCAGCAAATATGGTGAAATCTTCCAGATGCCCTTGCTGAAGGACTCCAGATGTCAAAGAGAAGTGGCCATTTGTTAGACAGCTGTTCAGTTAACCTGTCTGTCTTGGTTAAAAACACCTGCACATACTGTCCCCAGTTCAATCTGAGCCCATGGCAGTGACAAAGTCTGTGGGATTTGGGTTGCCTCATGGGTGGTGAACCATATTGTTGGATAGATCACTCTCTGAAAAGCCAGCTATCCTTCATGTTTGAAACGATTAAACATGAAAGCTCATTACAACAATAATGGCTGTTTTGATATTTCCAACTAGCTCTAGTGAGGTGGCCACTGGAGAGTCCTCAATGAGGTGTAAAGCATTGGCTATGCAGTGGGTGTGAAGCCCAACTGGCCCATTTGTTTTCACAAATCTTACCTTCTGGGGATAATGTTAAGTACACGGATGACTTGGCACATAGTGGCCTAATTCAAAGTCAACCACCCATGTTCTTTCTACTACAAACTACTGAGGAGTCAGGTTCTTTTGATTCTTAGCACCTCTTACACTAAAAAGCACCATATAATGGTCATTTGGATGCTATTATTATTATTGATGTAACTCTGTGCAATTTACAACACTCTTCCAAACTGATTTTTTTCCTCTAGTCCTTAAAATTATCCTGTAAGAACAGAGAAGTTTATTATTAGTCACTTTAAACTGCAGCTTATTATTAGCCACTATTATTTATAGCCACTATTATTTAAAGATTTGGAATTTAATTCACATTTAAACAAGTAGTAAGAGGTATGTGGCAGACACATTCATGCCTATGCTGGCTGCTATGCAGAGCCCAAGGGAAAAGAGAAGATGTGAATTCCCTTCAGGAGTTTATATTCCAGGATTGGAATGAGATTTGTTCACTCACTTTTTATGTGTCTCTTTACTCAGTAGATGATATGGTTTGGCTGTGTCCCCTCCCAAATCTCATCTTGAATTGTACTCCCATAATTCCAACATTTTGTGAGAGGAGCCTGGTAGGAGGTAATTGAATCATGGGGGCGATCTTTCCCATGCTGTTCTTGTGAGAGTGAATAAGTCTCACGAGATCTGGTGGTTTGCAAAACGGTAGTTTTCTTGCACAAGCTCTCTCTTTGCTTGCCATCATCCATGTAAGACATGACTTGCTCCTCTTTGCCTTCTGCCATGATTGTGAGGCCTCCTTAGCCATGTGGAACTGTAGGGCCAATAAACCTCTTTTCTTCATAAATTGCCCAGTCTCAGGTATGTGTTTATCAACAGCATGTAAACGTACTAATACAGTAGACTTACTTTGTGCAAAGTCTTTCAACTTAAGTGTATGCAGATGAAGGTTTTGGTACCATTCTTTGTGTAGCTGACGGTCAAGGAGAGGGTAGATGTCTATTGGAGAGGAGAGGGCCAGCAGCATGAAAATCGTTCATGGAAATTGTGCATCGTGGATATCAGGCATGAGACAATCACAGGCCAAAGCCAGTTGGCCACACTGTGTGACATATGATCTATGAATATGCGACTCTGACAGAATTCAATGGACATATAATCTAGGCTACCTGAGACAATCTCAATCTCCATTCAGTGTTCTACACCACTGTTTAGAGCTGAATGAGATGTTTCTTTCTAAGTTCTGATTCAGAGTATACCATGATATATTGCCAACCCAGAGAAGATTAGGAGGAAGTATACAAATGCTGACAAAGTAAAAAAGTCATTTGAGAGAGTAACTCTTTAGTGAATGAATAATGGCATTGTAATTATTGAAGGGAAACTGTGATGTCTCTAAGCTCCCTTGCTTATTCTTCCTTTCTTTCCTTTCTTTCTTTCTTTCTTTCTTTCTTTCTTTCTTTCTTTCTTTCTTTCTCTTTCCTTCTTTCTTTCCCTCCTTCCTTCCTTCCTTCTTTCTTTCTTTCTTTCTTTCTTTCTTTCTTTCTTTCTTTCTTTCTTTCTTTCTTTTCTCTTTTGCTGCCTTAAATGGCCAAAATAAAAGAGTCAGCCAAGAGAAATCACCCAAGTTTGGCCTTGGTAATCATGTGCAGAAAGACAAAAATTTCTATATTCCTTCTTGAAATGTTCATTCCCCTTTATCTCAGAAAGACGTAAAAAAGGTCTCAATTCATAGCAAACACCTTTGGGCTTCCCATCATTCAGAACCTTAGGTTCTTATACATAGAGCTTCAAAGCTAAGGTAACTTAAGTCAGTCTCAACCACTACTATTCTTTGGGGAGGACAGGATGGGTGATAGGAACATACATGCTCATCATTGAGATCATGCTACTTATTTCATAGTAAGGACACTGAGCCTTAGAATTCGGAAGTAAATGTCCAAAGCACATAAGAGTTTGTACTAGGAATGTGATTAGAATACTTTTCACCAAGTTCAGAAACTCTTCTAAAATTCCACTAGAGAAAGAAACAGGATAATATTTAATAGCATGATCAATGGTTCCCGGAAACTCACTGGCACAGGTAGAAATAATCAGTTTCCTGTCTCCCAGTCCACTCAAATTTCCCTTGACCACATTAAATCACTGACCAGGCTTATGGAAAACTGGACTGCAGTCTGCAAGGGCAGTTGGATAAGATGAGGTAGGAAATAAGTAACATGAAGAAATGTAGAAGAAACTGAGGCTGCTTAACCTGGGAAGAAAAAACCCTAGGTATGGGTCCATAATCACTTATCTTCAGATATGCTGAAGATACTTTAGTGTGTGAGTTTCAAAATTAATCCAGCTAGTGTTTATGATCATATACTGTGGAGCTTAACTGGTTGAGTTTGAATACCAACTCTTTCTCTTACTTAATTTTTCTGAGCCTAGTTTCCCAGTTGTCATGGAGATGTTTGTAGTATCAATCTTAGAATCTTGATGTGAGAATTGGATAAATGTTTACATTTAAAATATCTAGCACAGGGCCTGGTAAATAGAAACCACTCTGTGTATAACATATCACTATGAATATTCCTTCAAGATACAGGGCCTGGTCCAAAGTGGAAAAGTTAACAGGAAACTGAACTCAGTCCCAAGTCAGAGCATTAGGAGTCAGAATTGTCAGCAAATAGAAGAGGTTGATCTAGAGGGATGGAATTCCCTGATATTGAAAGTGTGCAAACAGAGGAACCCACTTAGCATTCAATGACATCAATAACAAGGAAATTAAAATGAATCCGGCATTCTTTTTGAGATCTAAACACTTTCAAATATTCCACAGCTTAGAATAAATATTTTCAGAGACATATTATTTTTATTTTTATTTTTATTTTTTGAGATGGAGTCTTGCCCTTTCACCCATGCTGGAGTGCAATGGCATGATCTTGGCTCACTGCAACCTCTGTCTGCCAGGCTCAAGCAATTCTCCTGCTCCAGCCTCCCCAATAGCTGGGATTATAGGCACGTACCACCCTGCCTAGATAATTTTTTATATCTTTAGTAGAGATGGGTTTTCGCCATGTTGGTCAGGCTGGTCTCAAACTCTTGACCTCGTGATCCTCCCGCTTTGGCCTCCCAAAGTGCTGGGATTACAAGCGTGAGCCACCACACCTGGCCACCACCACGCCCGGCCTTCAGAGACATTTTAATGACCATTGGTCAAAGTAATATTCCTGGTTGAAATTTTCAGCCTTACATTATCAATGATAGGCTGACTGTAGAATATGTTGTCTAGGTAAGAATGATTTTCAGAGGAAAATGCTGATGGTATTAATAATTATGCTGGAACTTTGCTGGGTAAACTAGACCCTGTAATAACCTTGGTTTCTGACTATTTATGTATAACTGGATTGCATTTATGTAAGCAAAAAGTATATGTATTTATGTTATATAAGAAACCAGTATAAGACAAATTCCATCTTGAACCCATCATGAGGAATGGCATCAAGACCAATTTTATTTTAAGATGTGAAGCTGTGGGACTGAATTTAGATTTTAAAAATATAATATGAATATTTCAAGAATGGTGTCATTTGGAACTGCACTGTCTACTCTTAACTCTGTTGTTAAGAATCCATTTCTATGTGGTCAATACTGCTCCTGGATTAGGCAATGCCACAGACTTCGTTCATTACATAGCTCCTTAAATCTCTCTCTCTCACCATTTTTTTTTTTTTTTTTTGAGACAGGGTTTCTCTCTTGTTGCCCGGGCTGGAGTGCAATGGCACAATCTCGGCTCACTGCAATTTCTGTTCCCTGGGTTCAAGTGATTCTCCTGTCTCAGCCTCCTGAGTAGCAGGGATTACAGGCGCCCACGACCACACCTGGCTAATTTTTTTTGTATTTTTAGTAGAGACAGGGTTTCACCATGTTGGCCAGGCCAGTCTTCAACTTCTGACCTCAAGTGATCCACTGCCTAGGCCTCCCAAAGGGTTGGAATTACAGGCGTGAGCCACCGTGCCCCGCCTGATAGTTCCTTATCTCTTAAACACAGTCTCCTGTTAGCAATCAGTAGTCCTCCATTTTCTTGGTCAACGGTTCACCTTTATTTTGTTTAAGATATCGATAAATGATCGTGGAGCGGGGAAAGAAACAAAGGCCAAAATGTTTATCTGAAGTATCTCAAGATGTTGAGAGAACAGAGGAAGAAAACAGATGACTCAAATTAAGGCAAATATCTTCAAATTAATGAAGATGCCCTGGAAGAATGCTCACTCCTTTCATGACTATATAGCATAGGTGATTACGATGGCAGAAAGGAGTTGGAAAAGCGAGGACATGGAGATAACTATATTTCCTTCTTGCTGGAGGAAGATTGAGACCAGTTAGAGTGAGCATGAAATACATACACATACTTGGTGCCCTCTCTATGCCTAGTGCTGTTTATAGACTCTATTCCATTTAGGGCTATTCAAGAGGAAGCATTCTCTATCCACTGTAAGTGTCCTGTCCCTGGAGTGTGCTAATGTGGTCCAAATGACCACCTAGAGGGCATGTCACTGAGACAACTCCAGTGTCTCATCAGGAAGAACTAGATAACCCTTAAAGTCCCTAAGAGTTAAATTTCCAAACTTACTTTAAGGGAAAAATAAAAATTAAAATTAAAAAAATTAAAAAGTCCCAGCCAGGTGCTGATGGCTCACTCCTGTAATCCCAGCACTTTGGGAGGCTGAGGCGGGCAGATCATGAGGTCAGGAGTTCAAGACCAGCCTGGCCAACATACTGAAACCCTGTCTCTACTAAAAATACAAAAAATTAGCCGAGCATGGTGGCAAGCGCCCGTAATCCCAGCTATTCGGGAGGCTGAGGCAGGAGAATTGCTGGAACCTGGGAGGCAGAGGTTGCAGTGAGCCGAGATCACGCCATTGCACTCCAGCCTGGGCAACAAGAGTGAGATTCCATCTCAAAAAAAAAGAAAAAAAAAAAGAAAACAAAATTAAAAAGTCTCTATGAGTCATAGAATTACAAGATTTCTACCTACAAGAACTCTTTGATATATTAGCCGACCTTAAGTAAATGGTGAAAAAAAAAAAATCTCCAGACTGTATCTATATGTCTATATGTAGATCTGTGTCTTTGTCTCTTTATATCTCTCTCTCTCTACCTAGCTAGATTAGTGTACATTGGAATTAAACTTAATGACATTATTTGAATCTGTTTTTTCCCTTTCATTTTCCTATATGGACTACATCTACTTCAATAACATTAATAATGATTATATTTTCAAACTCCTCTCTATTTTATGCATACCTTTTTCATATATATCATTTCATTTCTGCCTCATGACAATAAAATTAGGGAAAGACCTTCATTCTTCACTTAGCCACCTTCAGAAAATAGTTCAGTTTTACCCACTAGACTGGGTAAGAAAACGTTTACTCATAATATGATTTAATTCCATCTTTTGCCACTTTTTTCCAGATGTAATCACCACATTTCCTCTGCAGAATTATTGACACAGAACTGGTAAGCATGTCCCCTTGAGGACAAAAATCACCGTAAATAACTTCTCTTTAAAGAGAAAGGCATATTGTATTTTTATAGCAGACAATGTGAGTGCTTGTTCAATACAGAATGATGCTCAGGTCCCCTCTGGCATTCAAAAACCCAGTGTCAAGCTCTCTCAAGCCCAAAGGTAAATCAGAGAAAAAAGGATGACTTCATCTTTTTGGAGTGAAGTTTTGGCTGCCACTGGAAATTCGTAAAGCACCAAAGCAAGAAGAATGTCTTTATTTCTACCTTTGCAATCTGTTGAACCCATGTAGAGTAAATGAAGGAAAAGTTGTAGTTAATCCATTTTCAATTAGCACTCATTACTTCATCAAAAAGAATATTTTTCCCAATGAAAATAGTATTATTATTTTTAAAGTTTGGCTTTGAAAAATATGAACATCTATGCTAAATAATTTGCAACATTTGGAAATTATTCTGCCATGAGCAGCAATGCAGTTCGAATATCACCTTGAAACAGAGACTGCTTACCTGTCTCTGCCCTTCTGGCCATTAAAAATGTGACTTGTATACTTAGGAATGTTCTGTCAGGCAGTATGATAAGGTATGATAAATAAAATACCCCTTCCCTGCTCCAATTTTGAATAAATGAGAACTAACACTTGGAAAATACATGGCAACCAGAGAATCAACATTTCATATTTATTACTGACAAAGATAGACTGGAGGATACATACCATGGCAGCTAAGATGAGCTGGTTTGATCCCCATCTAATTCCCCCATAATCCACTTAGACACAGGAGAGCCCACCCAAGTAACACTTGAATCTGCAGTCACACTTAACCAAGCATGTTTCTCACTTTTTCACATGCATGGGATAAAGAGAGCCAATAAAATGCTAGTATTTAAGATATTTGAGAGATTTAAGTCTATCCATGCAGGACATGTGGACTAGTGGCTGTGGCCCACCTGCCATGTAAGTAAGTCCCTCCAGGACTACAGAATCTTTTTCTGGTTCAAAATGGGAGGAGAGTTTAGAGAAAATTCTTTAAAATAAAAACTAGATAAATGGGGGAACAAAATATCTCTTTCTAAAATGAATTACTCAATAATGCATATTGAAGAACACCTAAATGAATCTGTTAATTAAGTCACTTTTGATAGAGTTAGAATATTTTTGAGTGTTATTAAACCTGGGGAATAAAATAATTTTAAAAGCTATATTTTACTACATGCGCTTATAGAAAATGGGAGATCAGTAGTGAGTTGACATGTGTTGAAGAATTAGCATGTATTACCTCCTTTTCTATGTACTTTATATCATTCTAATTCAATTAGCCAGAAGGTCCTATAAGGAAGGTCTTATTATGTTTCTTACTTACAATATTTGGAAATTGAGACACAGGGAAATGGAGCAACTGCCTGTGTGAGTGTCTTAGTCCATTTTGTGCTGCTATAACAGAATACCACAAACTGAATAATTTATAATAAATAGCCATTTATTTGGCTCATGGTTCTGGAAAAGTCCAAGAACATGGTTCTAACATCTAATGAGACTCTTTGTGTTAGGAAAAACATCTTCATGAATGTTCTTGAAAAAATATGACATCGCATAGAATTATGGGAGTGCAGCAGCATCAATCTATCCTGGTATGTTTTGTTTATTTTGTTGAGACATAGTCTCACTCTGTCTCTCAGACCAGGCTGGAGTTCAGTGGCACGATCTCAGCTCACTGCAACTTTCACCTGCTGAGCTCAAGGGATTCTCTTGCCTCAGCCTCCCAAGTAGCTGGGATTACAGGCGCACACCACCATGCCTGGCTAATTTTTTTTTTTTTTTTTTTTTTCGTAGAGACAGGGTTTCACCATGTTGGCCATGTTGGTCTCAAACATCCGAGCTCAGGTGATCCACCTGCCTCGGCCTCCCAAATGCTGGGATTACAAGCGTGAGCCACCATGCCCAGCCTATCCTGGTAGGTTTTAATCTCCTTGAGAACAGAAACTATGTTTATTTCAACATTATTACACTAGGGGAGGGACTTGAATAGTTGACCAATAAATATATATTAAGTATTAAATAAAACAGTCTTCATGAATTTCTAAATAATAGCATAAATTAACTTCCAGATGCCATCATCATTCTGTGATTATTATCAACAATTTTCTATATCCATGGAGACTCACTAAGGCCAGATACAGATGAGTTATGAAGACTATCTGGATATCTGGAGGGTATGATAAACCAGCATGAGATTTTGTGTTGTGACCATACCTGTTGGCCAAAGGTCAACAATCACATAGGTAAGAATAAGTGCACTGAGAAACATCACTCAGCTTCTGGGGTGAAAAAAACTAAAAGGAATTAGATACGTTTTTCCAGATGATATCCAAGCAATATGGTGATAAAGCAAAGGGGGTACACTTGGGAAAGCAAACTATAAGTTTGGTCATAAGCACATGATACAAATAGAAAACAAGGGTATATCTGCTCACTTACACCTGAGTCCATTTCTAGCATGATATTTTGCCATAAGACATACCTTGAATTCTACCTTGGACATTGGTGCAAAATGAAGCTGTAAGTTGGAATGGAGAGTACAGGAGACATAAACTCTCATTCCTCAGGAAAAAATTCTAGTGCAAGTATTAGTACCTCCTAGTAAATAAGGGTTCTGCTGATGGGCCTGAAGCATAAATGCAGTCAGCCTTAGGAAGAATTGGCTCTGGAATTATACAAGTATTCACTTTCCAAGGATGACCAACTTTCTTCCACTGGTCTCGATAAAATGGCAAGGGATGATGAGTTCAAATAAACAAGGGTGCCCAAATTTAATGTATAGGAGTTCACGGTTGATTGTCATATTTCTCCAGCCTTCAGATACTCCTGTTTGAAATCTGCCTTTGCAATCACTAGGCATGTGAATCAGATTTGATCACTAGCCATCAGAGAGCACCAAAAAAAAAAAAAAAAAAAAAATAGAGTATGCCAACAAGATTGTCTCACCTCTAAAAGTAAATAACAATACCATCTGCCATATTTAGGTTGTTGTAAGGATTAAAAGAGGTTATAAATCACATAACGCAGTGTCTATTACCTAGGAGAGTGTTGATAGAGGCTATCTGATTTTTAAACGAAATAGTGATTAAAACAGTTTAATAGCCTTAATGCAGCTGAATTGCCCACTATCACTCGCCAGATACCTGTTTACTGAGGCATAGTTTTGGTCATAGAACACACGTAACAATGCCATCGAATAATATTTATGCCACTAATGCAAGCATCCATGGTCCTCGAATAGGGTCCAAGCCATCTTTTTCATTCTAATATTTTGCTGTGCATGCCCAATGTGCATGCTAAGCAGATGGAAGTGGAATCTATTTTCCATACCCGTGATTCACATTTATGTCTTATGTTTTTCTCTGAGATGTCAGGAATTCTCAGCCGTGGGCCCTGTATTACTTCCAGGAGTAACTACATGCATTTTAAAGCAGAAGTTGGCACACTTTCTGTAAAGGATCTGATAGTAAAGATATTAGGCTCTGTGTCCACAGTCTCTGTCACAATTACCCTATGCTGTTGTTGCGGCACAAAAGAAGTGGTAGACATACATGAATGAGAGTAGCATTTCAATAAAAACGTATCTACATAAACAGGTTGTAAGTGGTTTGCCATCCTCTACCTTAAGCCATACCAAACAGCTAGGTTAAAAATGCTGTCAGGAATTTGCACTTATGAACATGAAAATTAACTCCAGGATCTGAATTCAGAAGAGCATAAAATGTCTCTCTGATGTCTCAAAGATTTTTTGCCTAGTATAACCTGTTTTATTTCTTTTTGCTTTCTGCCAGAGTGTGATTCTAACTGAGAATGTAAAAATTACAAAAGATTCCCTGCTGCTGATGGGAAAATGAGCGAGAACCAATGGGTAGGAGATCCTGACATGCCATTGACCTAAACTTCTAGTGGTGCTGCCTAGAATTAGAATGAGATTCTCTGTAACAAAAGACATTAAGTTTCTAACAAATTGAAAATTCTTAAAAGGGCCAAATTTTCAACCTTATGATTATTTTTTGTGTATCACAGAAGTCTTTTCAGTGTAACAGAAATACAGAGATATTGGCAACAGGAAGGCAGGTGGGTTTATATTTATACTCCACTTTTTCCCCAAAAAATTAATTCTTTTGACACATTTAAAAAATCCTACCATATTGTAAATACTATTCATGATACTGGGAATAAAATAATAAGCAAAAACCAATACATGGCCCATGTCATCATAGCACTTGTACTGTACGAGCTTTGTGATCTGGATAAAAGTAATGGACTCTTCTGAGGTTCAAAACTGGTTTATATTTTGTCAAGTGGAAGGATTTAATGGACATTTGCTATATGAAGTTCTTCACATAAATGAAGGTAATTATTAGATGCCTAGACATAGTGGTTCCCTTCTCTATATCCAAAATCACACCCTTTTATTATTCCCGATTAAAGACATATAACATGTTGCTTGCAGTATAGGCAAAAGCTTATTACACTAATTAAGACTATAAACAAATTATGAATTTTTTATTTCTTTAAAAAATATTAAAAGATGCAACTAATTATTGGTACCTTAGTAATATATTTACAAGTTAAAAATATAAACAACTGCAAGTTTATGAGAAAGGTAAATTTGTCGGCAAATAACCACTACAGATATAGTTTAAAAAAACTTAAAAATTGATAAGTACTCATAACAGGTCTATGATAAGCCTGGAGGATGCCTGGATTTTGTGGAATAGAAGGGCCTCTGACCTGTATGTGGACATCTCTTCTACTATACAGGAGGTTTAGGAAAGAATGACTATCCTTTGTGTCTTTTGGCAGGGGGTAGAAAGGTGAGGTTACTTGGTCAGGTGGAAATGGATTTGATATGGTTTATAAAAGATCTGAGCCAAAGATTCTGAGTTTAGGAAAATAAGCCCTGCTGCTATCTCTTGTCCAACTAACGCTTCCAAGTACTGCCCATAAGAATTTAAAAGAAATTAAAAGAAGATCCCCAAATCTCTCTTGAATTCCCTCAATATTATGATGTTTGGACATCGTTGGCTTACCATCCTCTGAATGTTTCAGACAAATCTGAGCAAAATCTTATCAGGTTAGCTTTCAGTCTGACAAAGTCCCATGATTACAGAAAAGGAAAAGTAAATTTTAGATTCATATAATCACTCACGATTATATTTTCATTTACTTTAATTCTTTTTTTGGACAGAAATAATTTTCAGTGTATTAATGTAATAATCATAATTCTGAGTAACTTTTCTGTAATGACTGCCATCATGATCTAAATTTAATTATAAGCACACTCATGATTACAAATAAGTCAATAGTTTATTGGTTCTTGCCTTGCAGGAGCATTCCAAGCAGAGAATGTGTGTGTGTGTGTGTGTGTGTGTGTGTGTGTGTGTGTGTGTGTGTGTGTGTGTATATATATATATATATATATATATATATACATACACATAATCGCTATGTCTTTTCGTGAGAAAGTTTTCCTTCTCATAATGACAAAAGAGGTCCAAAGTGCTCAACTTGGTACCAGGGGATGCTGCATTTGGAGACGTATCATTGGTCTATGTTGTTGGGAGTTTAAGCATTCAGTTGTGATGAAGTCAAGCCAACCTCAGAAGTGGAAGTCCATATTGTTGAATCTATGACAAGTCTGCCACCATGGCCACTTTGTACACGTTCAAACTGAGCAAGCACAAGAATGGCCAGGAAAGAGGCTGACATTTCAGAGAATACCACCTTGTACACCTTTGTACTGACAACTTTCTGAATCTGTAAAGAAGTCACATGACATACAAATAACTTCAATGTCTGTGTCCACTTCTATAGGTCCAGCTACACAGCTCTTCTTCAGATCACTTTGTGCCAATATTTGTATGTCTTTGAAGTCCATAACCATCCCACCAAATTATTAGCAGCTACTCAGAAATCAATAAGGATCCGCACTTCTGGCCAACTTTTGGTCCAACAAAATATGGAAGGTGATATAGAGAATCATAGAGCAGGATCTTAGGTAGGCAGACAGTGTGTCAGATAAGCAGGGAATATTTAATGTTGACTTTATGGAAGGAGTGAGTATAGCAGACACCTAGAGGAAAGGAATTCTGGACACAGAAGGAACAAAGGAGGACTTACTTAGTATGTTTTAGGGACAGCAAAGAGCCCAGTAGGGAGACAGAGAGAATGGAGGTGGGGGCGGGAAAAAAACAGTGACAGCCAGACAGCCTAGCTGTCTGAATTCTCCACTATAACACAGGCTCCAATGTTAGTCAGATAGCAAAAATCCTCACCTTCCTTCAATCTCTATGATAACACTTATGTCACTAATTGCAAGCTGTCTCAATTTTTCTTTCTTTTTCCTTTTTTTTTTGTGAAAGCTGATGCAATGAATGACCACAATATTCAGTCAGGAGTTTAAATTTCAAGCCAAACCTTTTCTAATTATTGGCTTTGTGATGTCAGTAAAAAATTGCCAGAGCTTAATTCTACATCTGTGAAGGATGACTGTAATTCATAATGCACTGTTTCTTATGAGCTTAAGTAAGAAAATGTTTTTGAAAAAAATTGCTTGCAAATGCTAGACACTGTATCCATGTCCAATGCAATAGAAATTCAAGTCCTCTGCTTTCCCTTTAGCAACTCTAGCTTGGAAGAAAAATAACATCATCACAACCATGATGAAATAGATCCTGATCACCATCACAAATCAATATTTCTCTAGTTTAGTCCTCACAAACAACTGTGGAGACTCTAATTTCCTGTACTTCCTCCCAGCTAGCTCAAGACAAATCTTTAGCAGGTAGGTACAGTGATCCTGGCTGCTTAGCATAATCCTGGTTTTCTGGAGCATACTATAGTATTTTCAAAATATTTGTTAGAGAAATTTTGCAGAAGCCACTGAAAGTTGCTTTACAGCTTCTCATCCTAGAGACTTGCCTGGTATTGCCTAGGGCTACCATTAAGAAAACAATTTAAGTAGCTTATGCCAGAGGGCCTGAACTCTGTCTTTTCTCTCTCTATTTGACTTGCATAACTCAAACCAAATGGGCACACATCATCATTCTTTACTTCTACCAACAACTGATTGACTAATACTTCATTCATTCAGTAACTATTAATATTTGTCAAAGACCTTCCAGACTCCATGTTAGGCTCTGTATCATTGAACATATGATAAGAAACTAAATGCCAAGTTTCTTGTCCTTATGGGGCTTTTATTTCAATGGAGAGAGGAGAAGACCATAAGAACTACAGTGTATTATGGATAATATTATTTAGGGAAAGTACTGTTTTTAATAAAGAAATAGCTTGAGAGTTGGTAGGGTAAGTCACTTAGCAGTTATTTTCTCAAAGAAGGTGTTTACACTAAGAAACATGTCTTTGTTCTTATACCAATTAGTTAGATGACTCTAAAGTCTAGTTTACGAAGGACAGTGCTGGTTTATCCTGTTATCTAAGTGTTATTATTAACAGCACTCCTTCACCATGGGGTTTAGAAGATAAATCACAAAGTCATACTAACAATATGGGTTCTATTAAAAAACTGATAGCTCTAGTAATATTTTACATGAGACTGACGTCAGTCCAGCCATAATACTTGTAAAAATTTTAATATGTTCCAACCCTATTACCTATATTAGGAAACAATTTGAGGATAACACTAATTTTCTGATTGATTATATGTGATCTTGTCTGTGAGACAAAGAAAAGTGCAGCAGAATCAAGTTTTATAGGAATATGTAAAATGCTCAAATGTCAAGCATGTATGAGCGACCTCATTTTCTACCGGGATTATGAGTCACACCCATTCATAGATGGTGTTACACCTTTCTGTCTGATTTCAGGTCAACATTCTTTCACCATTTCACAATATCTCACTAGTTGGAGCCCAACTGAAACCCAAGTCCATAGGTAAGCTCCAAGCATTCTTCAAAGTAAAGTGCCACACTTACTATAGTATGTATGTAGATCTTGACAGAGCAGGAGCATCGTCATCTTGGACAAGCACTGCCATTCGAAAATTTCCCTTGATCAAAAACCACCTAAATCCAAAGAGCATCAGCCTAATGGCTAAGGTCAGCATGATCATAAACCACAAATGACATCTCCAACAAGAAACATTCTAACCCTAAGATAAACCCCTCCATGACCAGAGACATGCCAGCCCTGAGATAACCTCCCCTCCAGCTGGAGAGATGTCAGCCCCAAGATAACCTCCCCTCCAACCAGAGACATTCCAATCCAGCAATAAACTTCTCCCTGACACAGAAACATTCTAAGTCTGTGATAAGTTTACTCACCCTGAACCGTTAAATACTCCTAGTCTGTGAGAGAGTGCTACTGATGGAAATCGGCCAGAAGCCCATCTCAGGTTTATTCTCCAAAATAAACCTGTCTTTGACTGTTGAGCCGCTTTTCGTGTTTCTTTCCTCTTTCTTTAACTCTTACAGTTCTAAAACATTTAATATGTAAAACTGCTACTATCTTTGTATTGGATCCCTATCTTTTCATTGCTTTTATGATTCACTGATGAATTGTTTTAATCTTGTGTCTCCAACCCCATTCTTCCTGTACGTTCTGTGGTTTTTATTGTACAATTTTACAAAGTGTGGTGATTTTTAGGAACCCAGAGCTCTCATTATAGCAGAAGTGACTATAGTTTCTTATTGATTCAATCATACATTCTTTTATTTAACAGCAACCAGTTATTAAAATCTTCTTGATTCACAATAATTAGTTTAAATATCATGCTTTGTGTCCATCCAATGAGACTTTGTGATTAACTTCCCTGCTTTCCTAGACAGCAGTTATGTGGCAGGCCAGGTCTCCCTAATGGCTGAACAGGCAAACCTCCATACCAAGAGTTTCAGCACTGACTGAGTGGTTAAGTTAAATATTAAAAGCTGAAAGAGCCAGTGCCCTTAGACAAAGGCTGGGACGTAACCAAAGCCCACCAAGAGTTTTTCCCAGGCCTTTCCTGGGCCTTGAAGCATGACAAGATAATGAAGGAATTCTTAACAGAACCCAGTTAGAATTAAGCAAATTTTATTGGGGGTTTGAAGAAATTCCCTAGGCTTCCACAAACAATCCCACAAACAACTTCCACAAACCCCAAATTTTATTTGGGGTTTGAAGGAACTCTCCAAACCTCCATGATTTAGCATGAGATAAGATAAGGGTAATCACCACAGCACCTGGATCCATTTAGTTTAGGTAAATTTACTGAGGCTCTAGAGGAAGGTCTTCAGGACTCAGATCTTAGTTACACATTGAAAGAAGTTAATCACTTATGTCTTTAGATCAATGTGCATAGACATATAGCTTAGAAGGTGTATAAGCTTCTAAGCTATATATACTTACATGTAGAAATATAGCTTAGAAGGTATATAAACTCTGGAAAACTTTGTAATTTTTGAGTTGGTCTGGCGATATTTTCCAGGACTTCTTCTGTACCCGATTACAGAAATAAACTCTCTCCTTTCCCAGTTCATCTGCATCTCCTTACTGGGCTGCGAGAATGAACAGCCCAACTCTTAGTTTGGTCTGGGAACAGTTAAACACTCAGCTCAGCTCTCAACTGAACAGAGTCAGGAAAGTAAAAATAGGCAGTAAAAAAAAAATAATGTTGTACGTTTCTACTACACATTATGTGTTTCACTTAAATAACATTTAGTTAAACCCTATGAGGTGGATTTATAAACTCATTTTTATAAGTGAAGAAAAAAGTTTAACTAAGAATTTCAGGCCAGGCGCAGTAGCTCACACCTGTAATCCCAGCACTTTGGGAGGCTGAGGCAGGTGGGTCGTTTGAGGTCAGGAGTTTGAGACCAGCCTGTCCAACATGGTGATACCCCTTCTCTACCAAAAAATACAAAAATTAGCTGGGCATGGTGGCATGCCCCTGTAATTCCAGCTACTTGGAAGGCTGAGGTGGGAGAATTGCTTGAACCCGGGAGGCAGAAGTTGCAGTGAGCAGAGATTGCGCCACTGCACTCCAGCCTGGGCGAGAGAGTGAGACCCTGTCTGAAGAAAAAAAAAAAAAACAAAAAGCAAATTACAGTGTATCCAGTTTGTCTGTATTAATACACTGATGAGTTGATCAAGTCAGAATTTTCAATTACGGTCTGTCCAATTCCAAAGCTCATAACCTGTCACTCTAGTTCTTTATTGGCTTAGATAGAGAAAAATTGATATTTCAGACTCTCAGTATTTACCATATAACTCTCTATAAGGTAAACCTTCTTAAAATAAACGCTGTAGATGAAGAGGTAATTTGTGGTTTTAATTTTGTGGCTGGATGTTATAAGAGTGAATCTCTTTGATAGTTTAAAAAAAAAAAAAAAGAGGTAGCTACCAAGTTTAAGTCACATTCATAGTCCAGTGTCTATCACAAAGCTGGGTCGAGGGGAAAAAAATGAGGAAGGCAGAAAGAAAGGAAGACAAAGAGAAAAAAAGGCAAAGGCACACAAGAAGAAAGGGAATTAATCAATAAGTAAATATTGTTCGTCTGCAGTTTATGTTTCCCATCAAAATTCCTCCCCATCTGGGTCATCAGGATGCGGAAAGCAATGGATTTTCCCTGTCAAAATAAATTACTTTGATTATTCGTGCTGACGAATCCCAGAACGCACTCATGGCAAGACAAAGGATTTTGTGGTCTCCAGCTAGTTCCTGAGATCTAGAAGAGCATGCAGACCCAAGGTTAATTACAATATTTGACTAATTGCATTTCCTTGTCCTGTACCATATGGAAACAATGGAATAAATGTGTCTATAATTAAGACTTGAAAACTCTCCACTGGGTAGCCAGTGAAAGCCTCATGATGCAGGTCTCAGATGAAGAGAAATCATTGTCTTCTATCTTTCAAAGAAAAAAAGCCTCTGATAACAAACAGTATATTCATGGATTCTAGATCAGTCTTGTAACTTTTTGTCACTTTTAGAAGTCCTTGTTGGACTTGTAACAGTTAGAAGTGGGAGACATTTGGATTCTTAAATAACAATTATAATGACACAATCATAATAATTTAGAGTAAAATCAGACCTCCTTGTTCTCCTGCAATGTGTGACTTGATCAACAAATTACTTATCTTTTATTTGTAATTATGATGTTATCCTGTGGGACCAAAGTAAAGCTATGGATTATGCAGCCACATCTTGGAATGGAGTATAAATTAATATTAAACAAATACAAACTATACATACAGAAAATTTTGAAAGGATTCTGATGTTGTTTTTTAAATTATTAAATGCCATTTCATTCAGGGTCACTAAGCCCCAACAATCATTCCCTATTAATGTGCAAGAAAACACTGTTGGAACTAAAGTAATCTGAGTACCAATTTTATCTTGCTGGAGATGACTGTTATACACAAAAGAAAAAAATGAAACAGCCCACTTAAAGAAGTCAATTATTTTTGGAGGCTTGTTATGTGAATGGAAGAAATTTTAGCTTTATCCTGGTACTTATATAAACCAGCTTAGAGGCTTAAAGGCACCAATTCACAGATGTCCTCAAGAGAAGTGGCTAAATGGTGTGATTTCAAAAATAAAAGACTTGAATATGTAATTAGCGGGCTGTTCCTCATTCAGTCATTTGCTGTCTCTAGCTGTGAATTCACCTAACTTCCTCTTTGAATATATGCATTAGATATCCAGAAATAGCAATGCATAGCATTTTTAAGGTTCTTTAAGAAATGAATCTATGACCACTTTTGTTTGTATCATTTGGTTGCTTGATCTGAATACATTCAATGGATGGTTCTGCTAAGCAAAGAAAAGTGAGCAGTACCAGGTGCTGTTAAAGTTATTGATCAAATTACTTTTTCACACTACATTTGTTTATTAACTATATCTCCTTCTCACTGAACTGGCTTGGAGCAGTGCATAATAATAGATTAGCTGCATGATGCATTTGTATGGAGAGAATGGGAAGCACGTTATGATCACATTTGACTCAGAGTCTGAACCAGTGCAATAGGTACAGTAGGTAATTGTCCTGGTTTATAGATTTGTAATGAAGATTGAAAAGATGAACTAGTAATGATAAAATTATGTATTATATTCTGGCAGACTCAGAGTTTAAATTCGTGTCAGTCCAGATAACAAAAAAAAAAATAATAAAAGCAAAATGACTTTAGACAAGTTCCTGAGAAGTCTGGCTGTACTGCTGCCTCACTCTTAGCCATGGGCAATTCTCCTAACATCCTACATCTCAGTTTTCAATCCCTCCAATGAAGGGGTTGGTTTTACCTACTAGAGATGGTGTGAGAATCAGTGAGTTTATACAGTTTATTACCTTAGTATGGTGTCTGTCACATATAAGCATTCAGGAAATATTGATGTATAAAATAACTCTTACATTTTGCACTGTATTTTAGAGCTTTCAAAGCAATTTTATTTACTCCCCAAATTTTAAATCAGTTCGTTTTCCTACCCCAATTGACAACATCACTACCAAGGGAGAAAAACCGAGCAAGGAGGGAAGAGGGTTCACTTTCTATGAGGATGTAATGGATTGCACTCACTTTTTGGTTGAGCTTTAATATTCTAGTTGGCTCAGCATCTGTGTTTGCAAAGAAAAACCATCTATGTTGATAAAACGAAGCCCCAATACTAAGGTCACATAACTGTATATGGAGCAGAAGTAGGACTGGAACCCAGTTTTTAAAATTTTTGTGGGTACATAGTAGGTGTATGTATTTATGGGTTACATGAGATGTTTCGATACAGGCATACAATGTGAAATAAACACATCATGGAGAATGGGGTGTCCATCTCCTCAAGCATTTATCCCTTGAGTTGCAAACAATCCAATTACACTCTTTAAGTTATTTTAAAATGTGCAATTATTATTGACTGTAGTCACCCTATTGTGCTATTAAGAAGTAGGTCTTATTTATTGTTTCTAACTATTTTTGCCCATTAACCAACATGACCTCCCCTCCCAGGCACCCACTACCGTTCCCAGCCTCTGGTAACCATCTTTCTATGATGCCAATATGTTCAATTGTGTTGATTTTTAGATCCCGCAAATAAGTGAGAACATGAGATGTTTGTCTTTCTGTGCCTGGCTTACTCAACGTAATGATTTGGAGATCCCAGTTAAGTAGAACCCTGTTTTGAATTACTTGAAAATTCATACTGTTCCCTCTATTCCAAGTGTTTGCAAACTTTGGCCTGTGGGGCAAATCCAGCCCACAGGTTTCTTTTGTTGGATGCATGAGCTAAGGATGATTTTTACATTTTAAAATCGTTCAAAAATATATTAAAAGAAAGAGCATATTTTATGATATGTGAAAATTACTTTTTTTTTCTTTTTTTGAGATGCGGTCTCGCTCTGTCACCCAGGCTGGATGCAGTGGTGCAATCTCAGCTCACTGCAACCTCTGCCTTCCAGGTTAAAGTGATTCTCATGTCTCAGCCTCCCAAGTAGCTGGGATTACAGCCGTGCACCACCACACCTGGCTAATTTTTGTATTTTTAGTAGAGATGGGGTTTCACCATGTTAGCCAGGCTGGTCTCAAACTCCTGACCTCGAGTGAGCCACCCGTCTACGCCCCCATAAAGTGCTGGGGTTACAAGCATGAGCCACTGTGCCTGGCAGAAAATTAAATTTTATTAATATTTATTGTCCATAAATAAAGTTTTGCTGAAACACAACCACACTCATTTGTTTGTGTATAGTCTATGCCTGCATTTGCATTCCAACTGTAGAGTTCGAGGTTGCAACAGATGCCTTATGGCATGTAAGTCTAAAATATCACTTCATTGGCTCTTTATGGAAAATGTTTGCAGATACCTGCTCTATATTGTTACTTTCCCAATATTATTCAATGGTTCAACAGCTCCACTGATCTTCCATATTAGCATACTAATATTATTTACTTACTTTCATATTAAAGCAATTTCATTGCTTAAATTTACTTGTTAAAAAAATCATTTGTTGTTACCCCCTTACATATAAAGCCTTTATTTAAAAGTAAACATAAATAAAACAAATGCATATGTATTAAATTCATTTATGATTATACCAGCAAAGTCATTTTTAGTATCTCCTGTGGTTGGTGTAATATAGTTGGAAAACACTTTACTGTTCTATTCAATAATTAAGGTAGATTATTTGTCATAAAAACAGATGCTGCTGCAATTTTTTCCTACTTCAAGTTCTGAAGAGATGCTATTGCCTCATGTCTTCAGAGAGGATACATCAGCAAGCAATGTAGGTTGAAGGATTAGTATTTATAAATGAATGAGAAGAGAAGGGGAGAAATTGTAGGAGCAGTGGCAGAGATCGTCTGAGTAGCATAAATTATGGTAGTGCCATGGGAGACTCTAGGAGGTAGTGGCCTTATGGAAGGCAGAGTGAGGTTTCTGGGAGACGTTTTGCCTCAAGTACAATACATGAAACTGCTTATAGTATTAGGAGCTTTCTAATTTGGTGCCTGGGATACCTAGATGTATTTACACATCTAATATAGGATAACATAGAAATTCTAAAAAAAAAAAAAACCTATTCCCCATCACTAAGCTTGATTCATTCATTTGTTCATGGCATAACCCTGCACCAGACACCACTCCAGGCTATTTAGTGATCAAGAGAGACAAATGACATGCCTTTATTTATTTACGTTTTTATTATTTTGGCCGGGTGCAGTGGCTCATGCCTGTAATCCCAGCACTTTGGGAGGCCAAGGCAGGTGGATCATGAGGTCAGGAGGTCAAGACCAGTCTGGCAAAGATGGTGAAACTCTGTCTCTACTAAAACTACAAAAATTAGCTGGGTGTGGTGGCAGGTGCCCATAATCCCAGCTACTTGGGAGGTGGAGGCAGGAGAATCACTTGAACCCAGGTAGCAGAGGTTGCAGCGAGCCGAGATTGCACCACTGCACTACAGCCTGGGTGACAGAGTGAGACTCTGTCTAAAAAAAAACATTATTTTTTCACATCTGGCAAAATTACCTCCATCTCCCACCACCCTCCTCTCTGAAGAAGAATAAGAAAGATTCATAACATTTCTCCTGACATTCTTTGCACACTCAATTTAGTTTTCTTTCTAAACTATTAGTTTCTTCTAGGTGTTTCTCTTTCCCTTGCCATGTGTGATTACATCAGAAAATGTCTTTTCTTTCCTCCTACTTGCAGCCACAAAGGACAGCTCTGGAAATGGCCTTCTCTGTGTAGAGACAGCACTGCCTTCATTATTAAATCATCCACAAGTGCTTTGATTGGATTGCTTGTGGCTGTTATAACTATTTCTTTTTTATTTTTCCCCATTTTTTTTCTTTTAACTTCCCCTTCCATGTTGTAGATTTTGTAGACTTTTTACAAGAATTTTAGTAGACGTTCAATAAAGACTTTCTAGAATTATAAGTGACTTTTATCTGAGAAAGGGTCATTGATAATTATCTGTAGAAAGGCAATGCATGTGTATGGGGGGTAGCACAGAGAATAATTTCAACTAAACAAGGAAGGCTAGCATTGAAAACAGTCTCAGAGAAGGATGAACGTGGACAGTGGAGTGTGCTTAGGTATAATAAATTGCAGGCTGGGCGCAGTGCTCACACCTGTAATCCCAGTACTTTGGGAGGCTGAAATGGGTGGATCACCTGAGGTCAAGAGTTCAAGACCAGCCTGGCCAACATGGTGGAACCCTGTCTCTACTAAAAATGCAAAAACGATTAGCTGAGCATGGTGGTGGGCACCTGTAATCCCAGCTACTCGGGAGGCTGAGGCAGGAGAATCACTTGAACCTGGAAGGCGGAGGTTTCCCTGAGCCAAGATCACGCCATTCCACTCCAGCCTGGGCGACAAGAGCAAAA